>NC_000013.11:80395034-80547875 GCF_000001405.40 Homo sapiens | reverse complement strand
TTGTGTGTTTAGCTTCTGGCCATCTAGAGATAAGAAATTTTACTTCAATGAAAAAGAACACCATGATATTAAAAAATCAAGACCCAGATCAGTAAACCTTTTGGAAATCAGAAATATCATGGCAGAAATGAAAAAAAAAAAACTAGAAAATTTTGAATGCTTGAGATATCTAAGAAATTAGAATAAAAAGTCTAAATGTAGAAAATTCAACATGAAGAAAAAAATAGAGCATCAATCCAAAAGGTTCATTCTCTGAATAATAGGAAAACACAAAGAACAGAGGAAATTATGTTAAGGAAATTACCAAGCACATGATTCAACAAATGTTCCAACTGGAACAAGTTCAGAATGAAAAGCCCATGAAATGCCCAACACGGTGGGGAAAAAAATCTTTTTAGGCCTACAACAAAGCATATCACTTTAAAATTTAGAGCACAGGGACAAAACTTGCAAAATGAAAATATCAGAATGGGCTCAAACTTGTAAGCAGCAACACTAGATGCAAAATTTTTTTTAAAAAAGTAATTAAAACTATGACTTCAAAATTAGGAGTAAATATTACTGCCATTCTATACGTTTATAGCAGCCAAACTGGGAATCGAATGTGAGAGTAAAGACATTTTCATATGTACAAATTAACACAAAATTGATCTCCCAAACACTCTTTCTCAGGAAAATAACAGAAGGCTTGCCACCAAAATGAGTGTATAAACCAAGAAAATGAAAGACATGGAATTTTTTGGATGCCAGTTTAGAGAGATTACGAAACAACAATAGCTCTGCAAAGGACCAAGCAATAAGTCCAGAGGAGACCAGGAAGAAAAACTTTCCTAGAAGGATTTCGTCAAGAAGATGGAACTAATAAGAATGTAAATAAGTTTAAAATATCGAGAAAACATGTATACTTTAGCAGACAGTTTGGGGATTAGTTATTGCTAGGTATATAGAAAACAGAGCAACCAAAACACATACACACACAATTTTTTAACTCAAAAATAAAACTAAAGAAAATATCTAAGAAAGGAAATATAAACATAACTTATGTGAGTTATCTGTGAACAAAATATTTATATTCTCATTATATAATAACATAAAAAGAAATTATAAATCAAACAAAAAAATAAACATATTTGGAAAATGAGAGGACAAAGTGAAGGAAATTGGCCAGGCATGGTGGCTCATGCCTGTAATCTTAGCACTCTGGGAGGACGAAGCAGGCAGATCATTTTAGGTCAGGTGTTCCAGACCAGCCTGGGCAACATGGTGAATCCCCATGTCCACCAAAAAATACAAAATAAAATTTAGCTGAACATGGTGGTGTATGCCTGTAGTTCCAGCTACCTGGGAGGCTGAGGCAAGAGAATCACTCGAAGCTGGGAGGCAGAGGTTGCAGTGAGCCAAAATTGTGCCACTGCACCCTGGGCGACAAGAGCAAAACTCCGTCAAAAAAAAAAAAAAAAGTGAAGAAAATTAGAGATATAAAAGATTTATATATTCATTTTTCATTGTAGCAAGTCAAGACATAATGTCTTAAACTAGAAAACTACAACTACATCACTAAAATATACAGGGAAAATATCAAAACAATGGATGAAAGCTTTTAAATTTTTGAGGAGAGGTGGATAAAGGAGAGGAAAATAGACATTATTTTTATAAAAAGTCTTGTAGAAATATTGGAATATAAATTTCTATAAAAAAATTACACATTTACTTAATTCTATATTTCTTTATTTTAAAAGCAACTTTAAGCAATAATTGTATTAAACTTATAAAGGTTTTTTTGAGAAATGATATGCTATATTGAAACAAGCTTGGAGAAAATTCTGTGCTTCGAGAAAGAAACTCCATCTTAATATTAACTAGGTTCGTGGCTGTTGAGTGTTGAGGTTGATGAAATAATTGGCAATGGTAGTAACTGAAACCAGAATCAATGCTGATGATTTTTTCAGAGGGATATTTTCTGGTGCCAAAAAAAATTTTGGAAAAAAATTGCAAGATTCAAGTACTAAGAAAATTTTAAGGTTTGCAGGAAATAGATAAATTACCATTAATGATGTTATGTGTGGTGAACAGCTCTGCACGTATCTTCTCAAGTAATGTTCTCAGAAATTGCTAAGGTAAAGATGTTCAGATTTTAAGTAAGAGAGTTTGCATCCACTCATATCATGTCTCCTTAATACTACAGGAAGCTGTCTTCTTTTTTTTCCCCCTCAAAGTTAACTTTTACTTTGATCCAACAGTTACATCCTCCTTCTGTATAATTTATCCCTCCTGCTTTTGGCTCCGAATTTATAGGCTATAAACACGCTCAAAATGGCTCTCCCATTTTAAAGATTAATGAATTAATCTAGAAAATCAGACCCTATCTCATCTCCATCGATTCCTACTGCATACATTAGACTAGCTCTCCCCTTCGCAATTAAGCCTTCAAAAGAATGGCTGAAATTGCTATCTCCATTTTCTCACATTTACTTCTTCAAATGACATAATAAGTTTCGATCCTTCCCATGGCCCTGTAAATGCTCCAGTAAATGTCACTATTTTCTAATGGGTTGTTTTCAGCCCTTATCTCATTTGACCTATGTGCGCTCCTCGTCATTGTTAACATCTTTGCTTCTCTCTCTCGGTTCTCTCCCTACCTCTCTATCCCTCAGTCCTTTCTGCTTGGCTATCTCTTAAAGCTTAAGCAGAATTTTAGAACTTTGTTTTTGGTTTTCTCCTCTTTTCTCCAGCCATTCTCTGACAGTTTGATCCATACCTTTAGCTGAATTAGATGCCCAACATGTACTGTACTTCCCTGATTGGGAACTCTTAAAATGACTAAAATTGTACACAGAATTTCTCCCAAATTAGTTTGTCCTTCTGAGCTCCCTTTTTTCTTGAAAAGTATCATGATTCACATAGAAACAGATGACCAAACAGGGGATTAATCCTAGTCTCCTCCTTCATCCTTATTTCCACACCAGTCATCTACACTTGTATATTGTTAATCCTTCTCTTTTTGCTTGCCTGATCTATTCTCTCCATCCATTGCTCTTTTCAAAGCATTATCTCAACAGCACTTTCACAGACAATGGGAACACTCCCATTCCCAGTACCATTCCTCAGGCCTCCTGCATCTCCAATACCTCTTATATACTGCAATCATGGTGATCTGTTTTAAAATGAAAATATTATTTTGTGTTTTAATTGAAACACAATATTTGTATATATTTAGGAGACATTTTAATCAATGGCTTCAATCCTTTCAATAGCTTCTCCTTACAGGTAAAGTCCAGACCCATTAGCACATGGTTTTCCACGATCTGGACACTATTATCTGTTGCTGTATCACATTTACATTCCACACTCTAACCATAATACACTTCTTCCAGCTCTCAGATTATACATCTGTACATCTGTTCATATTGCATTATCATTCCTGAATTGAATTCTCCTCTCCTTCCCCATTTCTACACCCAGCTGGGAATATCTCCAATTAAGTCTCTTCTTCAAGGTCAACTTCTGTGAAGCTTTCCTGGACTCTCCAACAAAATTTACCTACTTCTTCATTGTGCCGCCACTTATCTCTCTGTATGGCTATATTTTGAAAGAAGAAGAATTTTTGCATTTCTATGTTGTACTGTGAGCTCTTTTAGGAAACAGCCTATGTCCTATTTGTTTTATAATACTGGTGTTTTAAAGAGTTCCTGAATAGTAGTCAGTGTTGGCCTTAGGAAATGCATAAAGTTCTAAATGTACTAAACATAACCAAAAATTTACTTAAGAAAGCAATTCTAGATAGCTCTTTGCATGGAAGTTTCTATGCTTTGGGTTATGTGAACATGAATTCTGTATCACAGTCAAATGGACCAATGATCAGCCATCTCTAGATTAGACACAAAGGATGCTGTCTCCTTAAGTGGCAGTCTGCAGAACACCAACTAGAAAAGCTGTTCTGTATTGGATATAAGCTATATCATCTAGTTATCTCTCAATGTTAAGCATAAGACAAAAGCAACAGAAGCAGACATAGTTATTTTAGTAACAGTGGAAGCAGTAGAGAGCATGTCTTGAGTGTAGTGGAATGGCTAGAAGAGAAGAACCTTCTGAGGAATTGTTCTAATGGGATGCTGTTGAATAAGTAATATTATTGTGCTTAAAAGAGCTGCCGTGCACAATATACTAAACAGGGTGAATGCTGTTCCACATCTCCATGGGGCCTCACTATGCTGCAGTTGAGATGGCACCACATGGCATATTTTGAAAATATTCTATGATCACTGATAGCTATATAAATTTCACAGACTGGACTTACATAATAGATTATACAATTCAACTTTATAGCATTTAAACTACTTCGTTATCAGGAGTTAATTTGTATATTAGTAGTACAAAATCTATGTGATGAAAAAATACATATATATAAAATTCCCAGCTCTTATATTTCTACATTAGCTCCAGCTTAAGTTTTCCAAATGAGGACAACATTTACTTCTCACTTTTAGGTTGATTTTATACTTCAATATTGAACTTGGAGCCTTGCTTCTCCAGTGTCTAGTTTATATTCCCTACAAATACAAACTTAGGGCTTCTCCTGTTTCTCTACATCCATAAATATGTGGTCAGAGATACAGCTGATCACAAATCCAACATACATAAGAGACACATAACATGAAAAATGGAATAACACCTACAAAAATCCTAGAGAGACAATTGGAGTCTAGATAGAAGTGATACATGATGAAGGAAGAATTTGGTGGGCTCCATTAGATAAAAGAGTGTCTACTCAGGATATGCAGCATATATAGAAATACCCCAGAGTAAAGGGAAGACTTGATATACAGTATGGCAACCACTTGCACAATGTTGAGTATGAGTTTTTAATACAAAAACTAGAGTTAAAGAGTAGTCGATGAATAGAAGACCTCTGAGGTCATCTGGTTAACATTTCCTGTAAAAATGAATTTTACAAAATTCCATTGTTTTACAAGTTTCAAAACCAAGCCTCAGAGAGTTTCAGTTGCAAAATGTCAGACAGCTCCCTTGATAAATAAATTGGGATATAATTAGAAGTATATGGAATTTCTCCCAGCACAATGCTTGAGCTCTGCTAAGGGACAGACTGCCTTCGCAAGTGGGACACTGACACCTGTGCCTCCTGACTGGGAGACACTTCCCAGCAGGGGTCGATGGACACCTCATACAGGAGAGCTCCAGCTGGCATCTGGTGGGTGCCCCCTAAGACCAAGCTAGAGAAAAAAGAATGAAAAAAAAGTCTCCAAGAAATATGGGACTATGTAAAAAGACCAAACCTACATTTGATAGGTGTACCTGAAAGTGATGGGGAGAATGGAACCAAGTTGGAAAACACTCTTAAGGATATTATCTAGGAGAACTTCCCCAACCTATCAAGACAGGCCAACATTCAAATTCAGGAAATACGAAGAACACCACAAAAATACTCCTCAAGAAAAGCAACCCCAAGACACATAATTGTCATATTCGCCAAGGTTGAAATGAAGGAAAAAATGTTATGGGCAGCCAGAGAGAAAGGTCGGGTTACCCACAAAGGGAAGCCCATCAGACTAACAGCAGATCTCTCAGCAGAAACCCTACAAGCCAGAAGAGAGTGGGGGCCAATATTCAATGTTCTCAAAGAAAAGAATTTTCAACCGAGAATTTCATGTCCAGCCAAATTAAGCTTCATAAGCGAAGGAGAAATAAAATCCTTTACAGACAAGCAAATACTGAGGGATTTTGTCACCACCCGGCCTGCCTTACAAGAGCTCTGGAAGAAAGCACTAAATGTGGAAAGTAACAACCAGTACGAGCCACTGCAAAAACATACCAAATTGTAAAGAACATCGACCCTATGAAGAAACTGCATTAACTAACAGGCAAAACAACCAGCTAGCATTATAATGACAGGATCAAATTCACATATAACAATATTAACCTTAAATGTAAATGGGCTAAATGCCCCAATTAAAAGACACAAACTGGCAAATTGGATAAAGAGTCAAGACCCATCAGTGTGCTGTATTCAGGAGACCCATCTCACATGCAAAGACACACATAGGCTCAAAATAAAAGGATGGAGGAAGATCTACCAAGCAAATGGAAAGTAAAACAAAGCAGGAGTTGCAATCCTAGTCTCTGATAAAACAGACTTTAAACCAACAAAGATGAAAAGAGACAAAGAAGGCCATTACATAATGGTAAAGCAATCAATGCAGCAAGAAGAGCTAACTATCCTAAATATATATGCACCCAATACAGGAGCACCCACATTCATAAAACAAGTTCTTAGAGACCTACAAAAAGACTTAGACTCCCACACAATAATAGTGGGAGACTTGAACACCCCATTGTCAATATTAGACAGATCAATGAGACAGAAAATTAACAAGGATATTTAGGACTTGATCTCAGCTCTGGACCAAGCAGACATAATAGACATCTACAGAACTCTCTACCTCAAATCAACAGAATATACATTCTTCTCAGCATCACATGGCACATATTCTAAAATTGACCACATAATTGGAAGTAAAACATTCCTCAGCAAATGCAAAACAATGGAAATCATAACAAATAGTCTCTCAGACCACAGTGCAATCAAATTACAACTCATGATTAAGAAACTCACTCAAAACCACACAAGTACATGAAAACTGAACAACCTGCTCCTGAATGACTACTGGGTAAATAACAGAATTAAGGCAGAAATAAATAAGTTCTTTGAAACCAATAAGAAAAAAGATACAACATACAAGAATCTCTGGGAGATAGCTAAAGCAGTGTGTAGAGGGAAATTTATAGCACTTAATGCCCAAAGGAGAAAGTGGGAAAGAGCTAAAATCAACACCCTAACATCAAAATTAAAAGAACTAGGGAAGCAAGGGCAAATAAATTCAAAAGTTAGCAGAAGACAAGAAATAACTAAGATCAGAGCAGAACTGAAGGAGATAGAGACACAAAAAGCCCTTCAAAAAAATCAATGAATCCAGGAGATCGTTTTTTGAAAAGATTAACAAAATAGATAGACTGCTAGCAAGACTAATAAGAAGAAAAGAGAGAAGAATCAAATAGACATAATAGAAAAATGATACAGGGGTCATCACCACTGATCCAACAAAAATACAAACTACTATCAGGGAATACTATAAACACCTCTATGCAAATAAACTAGAAATTCTAGAAGAAATAGACAAATTCCTGGACACATACCCACTCCCAAGACTAAGCTAGGACGAAGTCAAATCCCTGAATAGACCAATAACAAGTTCTGAAATTGAGGTAGTAATTAATAGCCTACAACCAAAAAAAGCCCAGGACCAGACGGATTCATAGCCAAATTCTACCAGTGGTAGAAAGAGGAGCTAGTACCATTCCTTCTGAAACTATTCCAACAATAGAAAAAGAGGGACCCTTCCCTAACTCACTTTATGAGGCCAGCATCATCCTGATACCAAAACCTGGCAAAGACACAACAAAAAAAGAAAATTTCAGGTCAATATCCCTAAAAAACATTGATGCAAAAATCCTCAATAAAATACTGGCAAACTAAATCCAGCAGCACATCAAAAAGCTTATCCACCGTGATCAAGTTGTCTTCATTCCTGGGATGCAAGGCTGTTTCAGCATATGCAAACCAATAAATGTAATGCATCACATAAACAGAACCAATGACAAAAACAACATGATTATCTCAATAGATGCAGAAAAGGCCTTTGATAAAATTCAACACCCTTCATGATTTAAAAAAAAAAAAGCTCTCAATAAACTAGGTATTGATGGAATGTGTCTCAAAATAATAAGAGCTATTTATGACAAACTCATGGCCAATATCATACTGAATGGGCAAAAGCTGGAAGCATTCCTTTAGAAAACCAGCACAAGACAAGGATGCCCTCTCTCACCACTCCTATTCAACACAGTATTGGAAGTTCTGGCCAGGGCAATCAAGCAGGAGAAAGAAATAAAGGGTATTCAAATAGTAAGAGAGGAAATCAAACTGTCTCTGTTTGCAGATGACATGATTGTATATTTAGAAAACCCCATCATCGACTGTAAACTAGGTCAACCATTGTGGAAGTCAGTGTGGCGATTCCTCAGGGATCTAGAACTAGAAATACCATTTGACCCAGCAATCCCATTACTGGGTATATACCCAAAGGATTATAAAACATGCTGCTATAAAGACACATGCACACGTATGTTTATTGCGGCACTATTCACAATAGCAAAGACTTGGAACCAACCCAAATGTCCAAAAATGATAGACTGGATTAAGAAAATGTGGAACATATACACCATGGAATACTATGCAGCCATAAAAAATGATGAGTTCATGTCTTTTGTAGGGACATGGATGAAGCTGGAAACCATCATTCTCAGCAAACTATTGCAAGGACAAAAACCAAACACCGCACTTTCTCACTCATAGGTGGGAATTGAACAATAAGAACACATGGACACAGGAAGGGGAACATCACAATCCAGGACCTGTTGTGGGGTTGGGGGAGGGGAGAGGGATAGCATTAGAAGATATACCCAATGTTAAATGACGAGTTAATGGGTGCAGCACACCAACATGGCATATGTATACATATGTAACTAACCTGCACATTGTGCACATGTACCCTAAAACTTAAAGTATAATAAAAAAAAGAAAAACCCATCGTCTCAGCCCAAAATCTCCTTAAGCTGATAAGCAACTTCAGCAAAATCTCAGCATACAAAATCAATGTGCAAAAATCACAAGCATTCCTATACACCAATAGTAGACAGAGAGCCAAATCATGAGTGAGCTCCCATTCACAATTGCTTCAAAGACAATAACATACCTAGGAATACAACTTACAAGTGATATGAAGGACCTCTTCAAGGAGAACTACAAACCAATGCTCAAGGAAATAAAAGAGGACACAAACAAATGGAAAATCATTCCATGCTCATGGATAGGAAGAATCAATATCATGAAAATGGCCGTAATGCCCAAAGTAATTTATAGATTCAATGCTATTCCCATCAAGCTACCATTAACTTTCTTCACAGAATTAGAAAAAAACTACTTCAAATTTCATATGGAACCAAAAAAGAGACTGTACATTCAAGACAATCCAAAGCAAAAAGAACAAAGCTGGAGGCATCACGCTACCTGAATTCAAACTAAACTACAAGGTTACAGTAACCAAACAGATATATAGACCAATGGAACAAAACAGAGGCCTCAGAAATAATGCCACACATCTACAACCATTCATCTTTGACAAACCTGACAAAAACAAGCAATGGGAAAAGGATTCCCTATTTAATAAATGGTGTTGGGATAAATGGTGCTAGCCATATGCACAAAACTGAAACTAGACCCCTTCCTACACCTTATACAAAAATTAACTCAAGATGGATTAAAGACTTAAACATAAGACCTAAAATCATAAAATCCCTAGAAGAAAATCTAGGCAATACTATTCAGGGCATAGGCCTGGGCAAAGACTTTATGACTAAAGCACCAAAAGCAATTGCAACAATAGCCAAAATTAACAAATGAGATCTAATTAAACTAAAGAGCTTCTGCACAGCAAAAGAAACTATCATCAGAGTGAACAGGCAACCTACAGAATGGCAGAAAATTTTTGCAATCTATCCATCTGACAAAGGGCTAATATCCAGAATCTACATGGACCTTAAACAAGTTTACATGAGAAAAACAACCCTATCACAAAGTGGGTGAAGGATATGAACAGGCACTTCTCAAAAGAAGACATTTACGCAGCCAACAAACATTTGAAAAAACGCTCATCATCACTGGTCATTAGAGAAATGCAAATCAAAACCACAATGAGATATCATTTCACACCAGTTAGAATGGTGATCATTAAAAAGTCAGGAAACAACAGATGCTGGAGAGGATGTGGAGAAATAGGAATGCTTTTGCACTGTTGGTGGGAGTGTAAATTAGTTCAACCATTGTGGAAGACAGTGTGGCAATTCCTCAAGGATCTAGAACCAGAAATACCATTTGACCCAGCAAATCCATTACTGGGTATATACCCAAAGGATTATAAATTATTCTACTCTAAAGACACACGCAGACATATGTTTATTCCAGCACTATTCACAATAGCAAAGACTTAGAGCCAACCCAAATGCCCATCAATGATAGACTGGATGAAGAAAATGTGGCACATATACACCATGGAATACTACGCAGCCATAAAAAAGAATGAGTTCATGTGCTTTGCAGGGACGTGGATGAAGCTGGAAACCATCATTCTCAGCAGACTAACACAGGAACAGAAACCCAAACACCGCATGTTCTCACTTATAAGTGGGAGTTGAACAATGAGAACACATGGACACAGGGAGGGCAACATCACACACCGTGGCCTGTCTGGGGGTGGGGAGCTAGGGGAGGGATAGCATTAGGAGAAATATCTAATGTAGATGATGGGTTGATGGGTGTAGCAAACCACCATGGCACATGTATACCTATATAACAAACCTGCAAGTTCTGCACTTGTATCCCAGAACTTAAAGTATAATAATAATAAAAAAAGATATTCATGAGGAAGACTCAAGAAAACTTCCACATGCAGAGGGAGGGGGCTTTATGTGCTTCTCCCAAAGTAGACATGGGAAAATGTTTTAGAAGGACAAAAAGTTGAAGGCATGGTCTTAGAAACAAACTTCAGGGAAAACAATACAGGGAATCAAATAAAGAAAACATAGGATTGTTGTCTGGTATGGTAGTCATTGGACCCATTTGGTTATAGAGGCACTAAAGAGATGACTAGTCCAAATTGAAGTATGCTGCATGTAAAATCTGTACATAACAAATCTAAACTCAGTATAAAAACACATATAAAATGTCTCATTCATAATATAAAGATATGTTGAAATATCATTTGGATATATTGGGTTAAATAAAGTATATAATTTAAACTAATATCACCAGTTTCTTTTGATTTTCAAAACATGGCTACCAGAAAATTTAAAATTACATCTTAAGTGGATCATATTTGCGGTTCATATTATATTTCTATAGGACAGAACTGCTGTACAGGATATGTGGAAAAGGGTACACAATAAATATTATTTGAATATCCTATAAAGTTTGGACATATTTCATGTATGTTCTTTTATCTTAGATTCACAACAATTAAAGGTAATTTCACTAGCTATTATTCTTATGTCTGCTAGTTCTAGAAGCCTTGATGTTCTCTATTAAACAAAATTCTAAAGTACGGGGTAAAATAAGTTAAATATAAGTTATATTCATATTGTAAATCCTATTATAAACATTTAATATTTGTCTGAGATAGGGAAATAAAATTTAAGACCTTCTAAGTGACAAATATTGTACTATTAGTTGTTTTAGCATAGAAAATGTTAAAAATAAAACTATCTTAAAAGCTGAACTAAGTGGTAAAAGAGAAAACTGGTATTGTTACCCTACTCTGCTAATTTACATTGAGATAACCTGTAACAGACTATGTCCCACCCTTCCTGGCTATTTTTAATGGCTGTGCCCTCCGTCTTTCAGTAATGTATCTTATTTCTTTCATTATCTATAAAAGAAGCAAGTGTTCTTTCACCTTGAAAACTGACATACCTCTTCCTGATATAATCAGATGCTTTCCAACCCCTTATTAAAGGAAAGGAAATTGCTTCTCTGGCTTCCAGCCACCATGCAGCTGAGAATATGTTGTTTCGGAAAGGTAAGGCACCCTAATGAATGACTTACTTTTGAAAGAGAGACAATCCCTACAGTCATTCAATACAAGCCGCTGTTATTTAGGCACTTAGGGAATAAATAAAAGTAGATAAATAACAACTTCCCATTTGTAGCTATCAGAGGTGACAGGAAGATAGAAAGTCATTTCCAACCAATCAAAATGTTGAATTTTGTAACTTAAAGTGGACAAAAACTTGTTTTTTCAATCATTCTATTCTATACTTTTACATGTGATTAGCCCATCCACTAGAAGGAAGAAAAGGAGGAATGAATGAATCAAATCGAATTAAAAGTTTAATCATGGACACACCTGTTTGAAATATTATATTTCACTGAGAAGTGAGTTTTCATTTTCTCCTCATGATAGAAGACCATGGGTTTTGTACAGTATATTGTCACATTTTGCATTAGCTGTAATTTAATAGTTGTTTCCTCAGTTTGTGTTTTTCTTAGTTACAATAAATATGGAGTTCTGTAGGAGCCACGTTATCACTCCTATACTCCTTGTTTTGCTTTATTTGGTATTATTTATTTTACTCTAAAATAGAAGGCCAAGAACATATAAATTGAACTGCCTTTAAATTTGGCAAGGCTAAATTTACATTTTCTTCTTGCCATTGCTTTATACCAACCTACTATTATTCTGTTTTACTAGTGGTTCTAACTGGAGCTAGTAGTAGGATGGTGGTTTCGCCAAATTTCTAGGGGAAAGACAGAGTCTCAGAGACCTTGAGTAACAGCACCAAGGCTTCAAGCAATCCATTGACTTGCATAAGGCCATACATTAAAATATCAAATTAGAACAGAGCTACTTTTCAAAAACACACTAGGAGTGACTAAACCTTATCTGCCTAATTTTGAAAAGTTCTCTCCAGACATATGAGGTAAAATTAATTCAGTCAGTGACAGCTATTATGTAACCAATACATTGCACTGTGGAGATAAACACATAGGCACATGGGCACGCACACACACACACACACACACACACACACACACACACACACACATTGCATTGGACATGACTCCTGCCTTAAAAGACAATGTGATGTCAAGGGGAAGAAAAGCCAGTTCTAGTCATCTATTGCTGCAGAAAAATCCACTCCGAAACTTAGTGGCTTAGAACAACAGCCATTTCATTACTCACAATTCTGCAGGCCAGGAATCTA
Organism: Homo sapiens; assembly: GCF_000001405.40. Taxonomy (NCBI): domain Eukaryota; kingdom Metazoa; phylum Chordata; class Mammalia; order Primates; family Hominidae; genus Homo; species Homo sapiens. The sequence goes on along the minus strand of NC_000013.11, from coordinate 80,534,981 downwards.
AGCAAGGCTCATAGAAGACAGCTCAGCTCTTGCTTTATATAGGGTTGGCTAGGGTGGCTTGACTGGAGCTGCAGGGTTCAAGATGGTGGGTCCCATATGTGGGACTCTGATACTGTCAGTGTCTCCCCACTTGAAAGTCTTAATCTGCTCTTATCATTTGATGGTCCAGGCTGAGCATCTTTCCAAAGGTGAAAATGGAAGCCTCAAGACCGCTTAAGACTTAGGGCCAGAAGCAATATCCGTTGCATTCCATTACACACAGCAGATCACAGGATCAGCGCGAATCAAAGGGAATGGAAAGAGATTTCATCTCTTGATGAACAGAAAGAGGGGAACAATAGCCACTGGGGCCTACTTGAGGGTGGAGCATGAGAAGAGGGAGAGGTTCAGAGAAAAAGACTATTGGGTACTATGCTTTACCTCAGTGATGAAATAATCTGCACATCAACGTCCCCCCCAAGTCATGAGTTTACCTATATAACAAACTTGCATATGTACCCCTGAACCTGAAAATTAAAATATTAAAAAAAAAGACTGATAAAGCCACATTACTAAGAGGTGGTAGAATAGGAGGATTTTTTATAGAGCTCTTTGGAAATAATCTGCAAAATACTTCTGAAACAAAAAATAAAGGAACAGATATGAAAGTTTCTGAAGTGTATAGAAAATTATGCCATAGAAGAATTCAAGAGCCACTTAGAAAGATCTAAGATGAGCTGTTCAATTTTTTTTTGAAAAAGGACTAATATCCATTTTCTTAAAGACTTGAAATCACCAGGACACAAGACTGCTAATAACAATGTCCCCCAAAAGTAAGGTGGAGGCGAAATAAGTAGGTACGTGTGTGCTATGAGCAAAAAGCCAAAACAAGGAGGCACACTGACAACTTTCTCCACTGTTGTACCACTGTTGCCAAAAAAACAAAAAAAAAACAAAAAAAAAAACACTTAAGATAACTAAATTCAGTAAAATAAGAGCTTATTGGCCAAAGTTTAAATTGTTAAAAAAGAATGCTTTTCCGTTTTTGTCTCCCTATCTCTTTCTCAGACACACACACAAACACAATCACACATAGAAACAGTCACACACACACACATACCCTACCTCATCATAATTCTGGGTCACAGAAAAAAATCAATATTACAATACAGCAATTAAAACTACTTTAAAAATAACCAAGTGCAAATGCTATCTACCTGCGAGGATTATTTTTCAAGTACTACTCAGAAAAAAATGCATAATCATGAATTGCTTCCTTTTTAAGTAAGAAATAATAAAAAGTATAGTCAGGATTAAACTAAAATTATGAACATAAGAACAAAATACCTTAAAAGCAGGAGAAAATAATAATACAAAAATTAACAAGCTATAGAACAGAGAAACAGTAGAATTAGAAGTAAAATCAGGAGCTGGTTATTGGAGCCGGGTACAGTGGCTCACACCTGTAATCCTAGAACTTTGGGAGACTGAGGCATGAGAACCACTTGAGCCCAGGAGTTCCAAGACCAGCCTGGGCAACATAGTGAGACCCTATCTTTTTTAAAAAATGTTTTAAATTAGCCAGGCATGGTGCCATGTGCCTGCAGTCCCAGCTACTTGGGAGCCTAAGGTGAGAGGATCACTTGGTGGAGTTCAAGGCTGCAGTGAGTTGTGACAGTGCCACTGCACTCCAGCCTGGGTGACAGAGTGAAACATTGTTTCAAGAAAAGGAAGAAAGAGCTTGTTCTTTAAAAAGGCTAATAAAATACACAAACTTCTAAAAAGTTTAAGAAAATGTAAGTAACAAATATTAGGCCTTGAAAAGAGGATATAACTGCAAGAGTTTTTTCTTAATTATAAAATAATAATAGAGTTCTCTGTTGATAAATTTGATATTAATGATATTAATTATTTTCAAAGAAAGTTACTGAAGATCAGAATTTATTCAGAAAGTATTAGAAAATTAAAATAACACTATAACCAATGAAGCATCTGCAATGTTTTCAAAGTGCCTTTGGCAAATACCTTTGTTCTTCTCACACACGTTTAGCAGCAAGTTAAATAAGTTAAATGTATGAACAATTTACAGTGCTATTTCAATTGTGCAGGCACATAAAAATAAATGAAATAACCTAATTTCTTTTTCATGAAGAACTTGGTACAATTAAAGTTATTCCCCACAAGGAAAATAACACACTAGTGTTTCCCAAGTGTGTTGTACAGAGTTCTAGCTATCTAGGATTATATTAAATATTCCTTGAGAAAATTGAGGTTTCTAGTTAAATATATCAAAGAAAACCAGAGCAAATGTACAGACTCTCAGTTACATGTAAATTCCTTTCCAAAAGTTTGTGCATTGTTTCTTTGGTAGGAAAATAAAAGTTTTCCAAATAAACCATCAACACAGAATGATACGTTAAATTTTCTGAGATTTAAATCATTTGCAAATAACTATATTGACTGATTTAAACCTCACAACAACCTTGTGAGGCACTGCAACAGAAAACTAAATGACCCTACTGGCCATTCTTACCTTCCCCAGTCTCAAAGCTGGACACATGGTTGCTCAGCTAAAGAATGTATTTCTCAGCCCGTCTTAAAGCAAGTGGGGACCTTTTGTAAAATGAGGAAGATGTCATGTGTGTACAATTCCCAGGTATTTCCTGGAAAACAATTGTCATAGGATTTCCCCAACTTTTTCTCCTTTCTACCACCTGCACATGATGAAAACTGAAGTAGCCATTTTGAATACACAAGTTGCAGCAATGTATAAGGATCATAGAGCCACTTTTCTCCTCTAAATACTTCCCTAGTTTTGGACTATTATGTGAGTGAGAAATAATTCCTGTAATTTTTAATTCACTGTAGTTGAAAATTGTGTTATATAGAGATTACCCTATACCCTAACTTGTACACATAGGCACTATCACTATCACCATTTTAAATACATTTATATGGGAAATTAAACAACTTAGCCAAAGCAACAACTATTAGGCTGTAAAAACTAAAGTCAAACCAAACATGACTCCAGACCCCATAATACTGACCACCATGCAATTGCTGCCTTAGTAGCTAAAGTTTATAAAAGCCATTCTACAATTGTAACAGTGTGATTCTAAGAAACTTCCAAAAGATTTTGACAATGTTTATCAAAGGGAATTGGCATTTACAAAAGGAGTAAGGGTAGGGGTAGTTACATCTGAATGAAACAACTGTTCCAATTTTATTGAAAATTAGAATTGATTTTTTATTTTAAAGGGAAAAATTGAAGAGCTTGAAACATCACATTGATCCATGCCACTCTTGAATGGATCACAGAGTTGGTGAACTGCACTGACTATAGATAGGTATCAATGTCTAATAGTATGGTGGGTCTTGGTATAGATCACTAATGGCTTGACAGATAGGATCCATTCAAACACAATCTCTGGCCCCTTATTACAGGGCAACATTATACTCTTTGACTTTCAATTAGAAGTTTTGAGAAACTAAGATTTTTGTTTTCTTCTTTTACAAGATAATGTCTATCTGCCTCACATAGTAGTATGTGTAGAACACATACATTGAAGATTTTTAAGTTAACAGAGAAGAAAGGATGAGAAAAACAAAGGTTCAGAAAGAAATTTCACTAATTTTATTTTCCACTTACAAGGCATGAACACCAGGATAAAAAGACAAATCAGAAGTTCTTAGTATCCATAGCAATTTACAGATTAAATGCAATGCTTATCAAAATGCCAATGGCATTTTTCACAGAGATAGAAAAAACACTTCTGAAATTCTGATGGAATCACCAAAGACCCCAAACACCCAAAGTGAGCTTGAGAAGCAATAACAAAGCATCAAACTTCCTTATTTCAAACTACATTACAAAGCTATAGTAATCAAGACAGTGTGGCATTAGCATAAAAATAAACATTTAAACCAATGGAATAGAAGAGAAAGTCCAGAAATAAACCCATGCCTCTATGGTCAACTAATCTCTGACAAGAGCACCAAGAATATACAATGGAGAAAGGAAAGTCTCTTCAGTGGTGTCGGGAAAACTGGTTATTCACCTGCAAAGCAATGAAATTTGACCATTTTCTTATATCCTAAACAAAAACTAACTTGAAATGGATAAAAAAACTTACATTTAAGATCAGAAACTGCAAAATTGTTAGAAGAAAATATAGAGGGAAATCTCCTTGACATTGATCTTGGCAATGATTTTTTGATATAACACCAAAAGCAGAGGCAACAAAAGAAAAAAATCAACTAGCAAGACTACATAAAATTAATCCTTTTTCTGTTTAAAAAAAAGGTATAACTCACTTCCAGCACTCACCTAATTTTAAATAACCATGCTCTTTGAGGTTGAAGCAAATCTGACTAATTTTCAATGTGAAAATAAAATATAAAAACTGTTCTTGGAGTTATTTTTAAACAGAGCTAACATTGGAATTGTCTGAATCATCTGAATCATCTATTTTGGAAAAATCAGATTCATCAAATAAATCTGCCAACAACTGTTAGAGAACAATGTTAACAACGTATAGGAATGCTGCATTTTCTAGGATTTGACATTTTCAGCAATCAAGATTCACTATATTTTGTAAATGGAAATACCACTACTAAAACCAGAATGCTATAAATAGAACAATGTATTTTGTTTCCAAAGTCGATACACTAGAGAGATGTGAAATAGTAATAAAAGCCAGATATTTCATGGCAAAGTTATCTCGGGGTAAATGATGCAGACATAAGTGCTGCTGGCAAGTATTCTCAGGGATAAATGGGAAAAGCGTTAAAAAGCTTTTGCACAGCAAAAGAAACAACCAACAAAATGAAAAGGAAACCTGTGGAATGGGAGAAACTATTTGCAAACCATATATCAGATAAGGGATTAATATCCAAAGTATATAAGGAATGCACCCAACTCAACAGCAAATAGATAAATAACGCAATTTTAAAATGGGCAAAACCTGAATAAACATTTCTCCAAAGATGTACAAATGTCCAACAAATACGTGAAAAAATGTTCAACAAAGTGAATCATCAAAGAAAAACAAATCAAAACTACAATGAGACATCACTGCACACCTCTTAGAATGGCTATTATCAAAAAGGCAAGCGATAAGTGTTGGTAAGGATAAGAAGAAAAGGGAACCTTTTAACAAAGTTGATAGGAATGTAAATTAGTACAACCATTATGAAAAACAGTATGCAGTGTCCTCAAAAAATTAAAAATAGAACTACAGTATGACATAACCATTCCACTTTTGGGAATATAACAAAAGGAAATGAGATCAGGATGTTGAGGAGATATCTGTATTGCCATGCTTCATAGCAGCACTTTTATAATAGCCAAGATATGGAATCAACCTAAGTGTCTATTAACAAAGGAATAGATTAAATAAATGTGATACATATATACAATGGAATATCATTTAGCCTTTAAAAAGAAGGAAGTCCTGCCATTTGAAACAGCATGAATGAATCTGGAGGACATTACGCTAAGTTAAATAAGCCAGGCACAGAAAGACAAATATCTCATGATCTCATTTACATGTGGAATTTCAAAAAGCTGAACTTGTAGAAGCAGAAATAAGAATGGTGGTTACCAGGCTCTGGGGGTGGAATAAATATGGAGATGTTGGCCAAACAGTAAGAGCTTTCAGTTATAAGATGAACAAATTCTGGGCATCTAAGGTACAGAATGAATGGTGATTGATGTTTTAATTAATTTGATTGTTGTAATCATTATACAATGTGTTTGTATATCAAGTCATCACATTGTACACCTTCAATATATACAATCTTTACTTTTTATTAAAAAATTTTAAAAGTTAGTAGTATCAACTGTCCCAATTTCATAAACTTTTTACAGTCCTTACTGAACGAAATTCATAAGATGTCTGAATGAAGAATATTAGTATAGACAAGTTGTAGTAATCACACAATGGGAGGGAGTGGACAACTTTTACAAATGATCTAGGGTAACTTCATGGAACACATGGGGAGGAAATATGGTTTAAAGAATGTATAAGAATCTGACAATCAGATGATGATGCAATCTAGGAAGAAGGGCAGCATACGCAAAACCAAAAATTTAATAAAAAATAACAAATTTCTCACGCTATTGTAGTTCAGACACAATGACTAGAGTGGTTTAGCAGAAATAATTCTGGCCTCCTACTGAAGAAGAATAGATTCACTGATGTCACACAGGAAGTAGTATAATGTCTATTTGAATCAAGAAACATTTGGCTTCACAAACCATAGAAAAAAGGTGGTAGGATATATTTAAAGGTACATAAAGATCCCCCAAATTTGAGAGCAGTAATGTTATATAGCCAGGCGTTTACCGGTGGAAGAGATCCGAGTTACCCCAAGTTATAGGCGGTCTATCCTTACAAGTCCATAGCAACTTACAGTCCTTGCCTCCTCAGAAGAAAGAATTCTACCGAGGTGCATAAAGCAGAAAAAGAGACCAAGGCAAGTTCCAGAGCAGGAATGGGAGTTTATTTTAAAAGGCCTTAAAACAGGAAAGAAAGGAAGGTGAACTTGGAAGAGACCCAAGCAGGCACATGAAGGTTAAAAAGAGAAGGTCAAGTGCTCCATTTAACCCTGATCCTAAGGGTTTTATAACCTCACCTCTTTTCCATGATTCTTCCCTTAGGGTGGGCTGCCCACATGCGCAGAGCCCTCCTTACCCTTGGGAAGTGAGCACGTGCAGCATGTTTAGGGAGTTATACACATGCCCAGCTGAGGCTTTCTTACTCTTTCCAGTGGAGTGTACCCAGGAGATCATACTTCGCCATTTTTGTTTCTTAATATGCATGCCCAGAAAGTTTCTTCTCCCAGGGGTCTGTGTTCAGTTAGCATTTTGGTGTTAAAGATGTGGACCAGCAGGAAATGGCCACTCCCTGGCTCTGCTAGATTATCACTCTCAGATAGGCAATGTGATAATTGCCGAACTATCACTGGATATTTCTAGTGGGTGAGGGGAGAACCCTTTCCTGCCACACTTATGCCTAACTACCTGTAACAAGGCCTCACAAGAATTAGACCAAGAAAGCCATCAGAAACCAAAGTCTCCCTATCTCCTCTACAGAAATCACAGCTTCATAAATTTCTGGGATTTTTTTCTGCTACACTATTTCATTTGCCTGCCTCTCCTCTAGGGATCCTTTGCAGCTTCAGTTTGTGTATGTCTCTGAGTGACTATTTCAACCCCCTCTACACAGTAACAACTCTTTATACATCGTATTGATACATGTCCCTAAGGTTAACTGCTTTAGGCAGGACTGTTTCCCAATTCTAAATTCCTAAGAGGGGGATCTGATTGGCTTTCTTCCCATTTTTTTGAGCCAGGCTATGCAAGCCATAGGTTTCTGCCTTGCTGGAACTAGACTTGCTGCCTTGGGGTAGATGCACATCTTGGTCCAATAAGTAACAGCCAGATGGTGTGGTCATGTGGTACATCCCCATAACAAACCTACTCATTAGTGAGCAAGGACCTCAGCAGCTTCCCTTAGAAGGGGCTGCGGAAATAGCAGGCCATTATAAACAAGCCTAGTACAGCTTTGATAATTTTCCTCAACTGAGAAACTGTTTTCAATTCAGATACTAATCAAGAAACTATTCTTTATGCGAAATGCAGTAGAATGAAATACATTTCCAAGTCCTGCAGTAGGAAACAAAAAGGCAACTAGCCAGTAGCCAGTAGCACATAGAATACAATAGGGCAAAACACTTGAGTGGGCACAGAATTTGTAGATTGGAGAGGAGCATCGCTAACAAACAGAGAAAAGATCTCTACCAGACAGGATTCATCCATTTTGGGTAAGAGAAATTTACTCTGGCCAGCTTGAGTAAAAAGAATTCATTGGATGGATATAGGGGGAGCACCCAGACCTAAGAGGAAAGCTCACAGGCAGGTAGCTTTTAGAGAGTCTAAACTGGAAGGAGTTACTCGAGAAGTTCATCCAGGTGCTATGGCTGGAATGAAGAGGTCCAACCATTTTCAATTTATTTGTCATTCTATCAAATTCTGAGAATTCCATGAGTGCCCAATTGGGCTTGAGGGAGAGAAGAAAGCACTTATTTGAAAAATTCTGCCAAAAGGTGGTGAAAGAACTCCCCAAAAGGAAACTTTAAGTACTATTTAAAAGATAAACTGGGATGGTTGTGGGTCAGAAAAAAATTCCAATGTCCATCATAGAAACGGTTTCTTGAGCAATAAGCAATTAGTAGAGGCCATTGGAAAGATATAATGAGGAGAACAACCTCTTCAAGCATGCTGTTGAAAACACTGGTTAATAAAAGTAAAATCTGAATAAATGCAGATGAAACTAAATCAAATCTTCTACTGGAAATGATAACAGCCAGAATGTTCATGGTACTTCCTATGTGCTAGTAACTCTAGTAAACAGCTTCCTTTTTTAATCCAGTTAATATTCACTTTTACCCCCATGAACTTTTCAGCTAAATCCCATTTAGAGGGAGAAAGGTAAAAATCTACAAAGGAAGTGGCCGAGTTGGGATCCAATTCCTGGCATGTGACTCCACTCTCCACTCAGCCTAAGAACCCACTGAAACATTCTTAGCAAAGGAAAGAAAGGAAATGTGGTACAGAAAGGCCAAGGAACAGAAAGAAGAGAACCAGAATGTAGACAAAGCAAGAGGAGAAATCTAATCTTAAGATAAAACTAGATCTCCTGACTATATGTCAAGCTAAGGATTTAACTGACGTTTTAGTTAAGAGACAAATAGGAATTAATAGAAAAGTCTACTGCATATTGTTTATAGTTTCTGAAATCTGGAAGTGCTGAGGTTAACTATATAGCAGATTTATTTTTCCAAATTGTGAGGTCAGACATTTCCACCTAATCTTGTCCTACTGTCTATTCTAATTAAAGCCCTTTCACCTCGCTCCCAACAATGGCCCAGCTAGGGTTGTAATAGATAATTGAAGCAGTGACTGAAACTTGGATATTTTCAGTTTTTGTGACTACATGAAGAAAACATTTTGTATAGTTTTCCATCTTAGTTTGAAATAATCTTAAAGCAATAGAAATTCCTGCTAGCCTGATTAATGTTATTCAGGTTTATGTCTAGGAAAAGAAGAGTAAAAGAACAAGAGACCAGGGATAACCTGACTATCAGAGTCTGCATCCTCTCATGGGTCAACTGTTCAGGTTTATTTTGAAGTTGTAAGAACTTTAGTTCTTCCCCTTTCTGTTTTCCCATCAATGAGGCTCCAAATTGCAATTGTTTGTAAGTAACGGAAGATTATTTGGTTGGGAGTAAAAAAAAGGCTTGTCTACAATTTTAGATAAACTTAAATCCTGTGTATTAGAAATAGCCAAACATTAATCTGGAACTAACAAATGTATCATCTATTGGTTTTCAGCTTAAGTTTACTGCTTATAATTTTGCTAATTGCTCATTGCGGGTAGACTAAACTGTATAAAGTTGGAGAATTCCACTAACAGTACATAGTTAGCCATATGGTAAATAAAATGTGGAATTTTAATGTGTTCTGCTTCCTGATCCTCCTTCTATCTTCATACCTGAATTGCTTCAAAAAAGTGAAACAGAGGAGGTAGATCAAACCAAGGGCAACAAGGGCAAAGAGATTGGTTTTCAATGCCATTTCTCTTTGTCTTTCTACTCTCTCACATTTGTTTTCCAAATCCCTTTTTCCTCTCTAAGAAAAAATACTGAGCTAGTACAGTAAAGAAAAAAATGAGGCCTCAGAAATCAGTTTTATGAGTTGACATCAAATTTTAAAGTTAGTTTTATTTCTTTGCTTTTTTTTTTTAAGCTGTCATTGAGCACTTACTATGTGCCTGGCACAAGGCCAAGCACTTTGCATGCATTAACCTACTTGATATTCTGACAGTAATTTGATAAGCTTACTCTATTAGTCATTATTATTATTACTGTAAAAATAAGGAAATTTAAGTATCTTGCTTGTTACACACAGCTACATTGACCTTAAAGGCCTCGGTGTGAATCATTTTGAGAACAGAGCATTCTTCACCTTCCAGTCTTTATTGCTCAACAGTTAACTATGTGCCAGGCACTATTCTAGGCACTGGAGATATAATTAAGTGAACAAGTTAGGCAAAGACCATGCCCTCCTGAATTGTGCATTCTAGTACAGAAAGCAGATAATAATCATGTCATTTTAAAATATGTAATTCTGGATAGCAGCAAAAGCTGTGAATATTCCAACAGGATAATTTGCTAGAAAGTACCTGGGGGGAAATTGTGCTCAGAAAAGCCTCCCTTAAGAGCGCTGTCTGAGGAAATGACATCTGAGGCGAGACCTGAATGATAAGAAGTCACCAGCCACGTGAAGGTCTGGGTGTAAACTATTTCAGGCAGAGAAAAGGACTCATGAACATGGATGGAGGCAGGAAGATAGCAGGTGTATTAGAGAGATGGAATGACTCAGTGTGCCTGGATCATAGTAAACAAGTGAGAGAGTATAAGCAATGAGTTAGAGACACAGACAAGGACTGGATCATGAAGGGCTTTGGAAGTCAGGGAGAAGTGCATGGACTGTACCCTAGGTGAAATGGGGAGCCATTGGAGAATATTAAGCAAGGGAGTGATTAAACATACACACACACACATTATATATATATAGAGAGAGAGAAAGAGAGAGAGAGAGAAGAGATAGAATAGATACAGAATTAGAAATAGAGATATATTTCAGAACCCTGACTGCTAGGTGGCAAATGCAATAGAAGGAGCAAGAGGAGATCTAAAAAAGACTAATGATAAGGCTCTTGCAGTAGCCCAAGAAAGAGACAATGGTGACTTTGACTGAGTAAATGGCAAAAGGGAAGCAGATTTTGAATTTACATTGAATAGACAACTGACTGGATTATCTGAAGGATTAGATGTAGGTCACTAGAACAAGAGAGGAATCAAAGGTGACTCTTATATTCTGGGCCCAAGCAGTTTATTTCTTAGCAACATCCTTAACTAAGATGTGGAGAAGCAGTTCCTGGTGCCTGTAATTAACAATATAGATCATGTTCTTATTTTATTAGATATATGACCTAATGGGAATGTGGAAAAGAAAATAAAAAGGGAAGTCCATCGCTCCAGCTTTACCACTAATGGTATGACGTGAAAACATTTCACTTAGCCTTTCTGGAACTATTTCAAAATATCAAGGAGGAAGGACACCTCCTTACTCATTCTGCAAAGCCAACATCACTCTGATACCAAAACCTGGTAAGTACACAATGAAAAAAAGAAAACTACAGGCCAATAACCCTGATGAACATAGCCACAAAAATCATCAACAAAATACTAAGAAACCAAATCCAGCAGCACATCAAAAAGTTAATTCACCATAATCAAGTAGGCTTCATTCCTGGAATGCAAGGTTGCTTCAACATAGGCAAATCAATAAATGTGATTCACTACATAAACAGAATTAAGAACAAAAACCATATGATTATCTCAATAGATGCAGAAAAGGCTTTTGATAAAATTCAACATCTCTTCATGTCAAAAATCCTCAAAAAAATAGAAATTGAGGGAATATACCTAAAAATAATAAGAGCCATTTATGACAAACTCACAGCCAACATCCTAATGAGTGGGAAAAAGATGAAAGCATTCCCTTGAGAACTGGAACAATGGCCACGCTCACCACTCCTATTCAACATAGTACTGGAAGTCCTCACCAGAGCAATTAAGCAAAAGAAAGAAAGAAAAGCTTCCAAATAAGAAAAGAATAAGTCAAACTATGTCTCTTTGCTGACAATACCATTCTACACCTAGAAAATCCTAAAGACTCTACCAAAAGGCTCCTGGAACTAATAAATGAGTTCAACAAAATTTCAGGATATAAAATCAATGTACGAAAATCAGTAGCATTTCTATACACAAATAACATTCAAGCTGAGAGAAAAATCAAGAATGCAATCCTGTTTACAATAGCCGTAAAAAAAAATACCTGAGGATAATTCTTGCCAGGCAGCTAAAAGATTGATTGATCGATTGATTGATTTTTATTATACTTTAATTTCTGGGGTACATGTGCACAACGTGTAGGTTTGTTACATATGTATACCTGTGCCGTGTTGGTTTGCTGCACCCATTAACTCACCATTTACATTAGGTATTTCTCCTAATGCTATCCCTCCCCCATGCCCCCACCCCATGACAGGCCCCACTGTGTGATGTTCCCTGCCCTGTGTCCAAGTGTTCTCATTGTTCAATTCCCACATATGAGTGAGAATATGTGGTGTTTGGTTGTCTGTCCTTGTGATAGTTTGCTGAGAATGATGGTTTCCAGCTTCATCCATGTTGCTACAAAGGACATGAACTCGTCCTTTTTTATGGCTGCATAGTATTCCATGGTGTATATATGCCACAATTTCTTAATCCAGTCTATCATTGATGGACATTTGGGTTGGTTCCAAGTCTTTGCTATTGTGAATAATGTTGCAATAAACATACATGTGCATGTGTCTTTATAGTAGCATGATTTATAATCCTTTGGGTATATGCCCAGTAATGGGATGGCTGGGTCAAATGGTATTTCTAGTTCTAGATCCATGAGGAATCGCCACACTGTCTTCCACAATGGTTGAACTAATTTACACTCCCACCAACAGTGTAAAAGCATTCCTATTTCTCCACATCCTCTCCAGCACCTGTTGTTTCCTGGCTTTTTAATGATCACCATTCTAACTGGTGTGAGATGGTATCTCATTGTGGTTTGATTTTGCATTTCTCGATGACCAGTGATGATGAGCATTTTTTCATCTGTCTGTTGGCTGCATAAATGTCTTCTTTTGAAAACTGTCTGTTCATATCCTATGCCCACTTTTTGATGGGGTTGTTTGATTTTTTCTTGTAAACTTAAGTTGTTTGTAGATTATGGATATTAGTCCTTTGTCAGATGGGTACATTGCAAAAAATTTCTCCCATTCTGTAGGTTGCCTGTTCACTCTGATGAAGGTTTCTTTTACTGTGCAGAAGCTCTTTAGTTTAATTAGATCCCATTCGTCTATTCTGGCTTTTGTTGCCATTGCTTTTAGTGTTTTAGTCATGAAGTGCTTGCCCATGCCTATGTCCTGAATGATATTGCCTAGATTTTTTTCTAGGGTTTTTATGGTTTTAGGTCCAATATTTAAGTCTTTAATCCATCTTGAATTAATTTTTGTATAAGGTGTAAGGAAGGGATCCAGTTTCAGCTTTCGACATATGGCTAGCCAGTTTTCCCAGCACCATATTTTAAATAGGGAATCCTTTCCCCATTTCTTGTTTTTGTCAGGTTTGTCAAAGATCACATAGTTGTAGATGTGTGGTGTTATTTCTGAAGCCTCTGTTCTGTTCCATTTGTCTAGATCTCTGTTTCGGTACCAGTACCATGTTATTTTCATTACTGTAACCTTGTAGTATAGCTTGAAGTCAGGTAGCATGATGCCTCCAGCTTTGTTCTTTTTGCTTAGGATTGTCTTGGCAAAGCAGGCCCTTTTTTGGTTCCATATGAACTTTAAAGTAGTTTTTCCAATTCTCTGAAGAAAGTCATTGGTAGCTTGATGGGGATGGCATTGAATCTATAAATTACCTTGGGCAGTATGGGCATTTGCACGATATTGATTCTTCCTATCCATGAGCATGGAATGTTCTTCCATTTGTTTGTGTCCTCTTTTATTTCGTTGAGCAGTGGTTTATAGTTCTCCTTGAAGAGGTCCTTCACATCCCTTGTAAGTTGGATTTCTAGGTATTTTATTCCTTTGTAGCATTTATGAATGGGAGTTCATTCATGATTTGACTCTCCGTTTGTCTGTTATTGGGGTATAAGAATGCTTGTGATTTTTGCACATTGATTTTGTATCCCAAGACTTTGCTGAACTTGCTTATCAGCTTCAGGAGATTTCGGGCTTAGAAGATGGGGTTTTCTAAACATACAATCATGTCATCTGCAAAAAGGGAGAATTTGACTTCCTCTTTTCCTAATTGAATATGCTTTATTTCTTTCTCCTGCCTGATTGCCCTGGCCAGAACTTCCAACACTATGTTGAATAGCAGTGCTGAGAGAAGGCATCCTTGTCTTGTGCCAGTTTTCAAAGGGAATGCTTCCAGTTTTTGCCCATTCAGTATGATATTGGCTGTGGGTCTGTCATAAATAGCTCTTATTATTTTGAGATACATCCCATCAATACCTAATTTATTGATAGTTTTTAGCATGAAGGGCTGTTGAATTTTGTCAAAGGCCGCCTTTTCTGCATCTGTGGAGATAATCATGTGGTTTTTGTCTTAGGTTCTGTTTATGTGATGGATAACATTTATTGATTTGCATATGTTGAACCAGCCTTGCATCCCAGGGATGAAACCAACTTGATCTTGGTGGATAAGCTTTTTGATGTGCTGCTGGATTCAGTTTGCCAGGATTTTATTGAGGACTTTCACATCGATGTTCATCAGGGATATTGTTCTAAAATTCTCGTTTTTTTGGTTGTGTCTCTGCCAGGGTTTGGTATCAGGATGATGCTGGCCTCATAAAATGAGTTAGGGAGGATTCCCTCTTTTTCTATTGATTGGAATAGTTTCAGAAGGAATGGTACCAGCTCCTCTTTGTACCTCTGGTAGAATTCGGTTGTGAATCATCTGGTCCTGGACTTTTTTTGGTTGTTAGGCTATTAATTATTGCCTCAATTTCGGAGCCTGTTATTGGTCTATTCAGGGAATCAACTTCTTCCTGGTTTAGTCTTGAGATGGTGTATGTGTCGAGGAATTTATCCATTTCTTCTAGATTTTCTAGTTTATTTGCATAGAGGTGTTTATAGTATTCTCTGATGGTAGTTTGTATTTCTGTGGGATCAGTGGTGATATCCCCTTTATCATTTTTTATTGCATCTATTTGATTCTTCTCTCTTTTCTTCTTTATTAGTCTTGCTAGTGATCTATCAATCTTGTTGATCTTTTCAAAAAACCAGCTTCTGGATTCATTGATTTTTTGAAGGGTTTTTTGTGTCTCTATCTCCTTTAGTTCTGCTCTGATCTTAGTTATTTCTTGCGTTCTGATAGCTTTTGAATGTGTTTGCTCTTGCTTCTCTAGTTCTTTTAATTGTGATGTTAGGGTGTCCATTTTAGATCTTTCCTGCTTTCTCTTGTGGGCATCTAGTGCTATAAATTTCCCTCTACACACTGCTTTAAATGTGTTCCAGAGATTCTGGTATGTTGTGTCTTTGTTCTCATTGGTTTCTAAGAACATCTTTATTTCTGCCTTCATTTCGTTATTTACCCAGTAGTCATTCAGGAGCATGTTGTTCAGTTTCCATATAGTTGTACAGTTTTGAGTGAGTTTCTTAATCCTGAGTTCTAATTTGATTGCACTGTGGTCTGAGAGACAGTTTGTTGTGATTACTGTTCTTTTACATTTGCTGAGGAGTGCACTTATTTGGAATAAGTGTGATGTGGTACTAAGAATGTATATTCTGTTGATTTGGGGTGGAGAGTTCTGTAGATGTCTATTAGGTCTGCTTGGTGCAGAGCTGAGTTCAAGTCCTGGATATCCTTGTTAACCTTCTGTCTCATTGATCTGTCTAACATTGACAGTGGGATGTTAAAGTCTCCTATTATTATTGTGTGGGAGTCTAAGTCTCTTTGTAGGTCTCTAAGGACTTGCTTTATGAATCTGGGTGCTCCTGTATTGGGTGCATATATTTAGGATAGGTAGCTCTTCTTTCTGCATTGATCCCTTTACCATTATGTAATGGCCTTCTTTGTCTCTTTTCATCTTTGTTGGTTTAAAGTCTGTTTTATCAGAGACTAGGATTGCAACCCCTGCTTTCTTTTGCTTTCCATTTGCTTGGTAGATCTTCCTCCATCCCTTTATGTTGAGCCTAATATGTGTCTCTGCACATGAGATACATCTCCTGAATACAGCACACTGATGGGTCTTGACTCTTTATCCAATTTGCCAGTCCGTGTCTTTTAATTGGGGCATTTAGCCCATTTACATTTAAGGTTAATATTGTTGTGTGTGAATTTGATCCTGTCATTATGATGTTAGTTGGTTACCTTGCCCGTTAGTTGATGCAGTTTCTTCCTAGCATCGATGGTCTTTACAATTTGGCATGTTTTTGCAGTGGCTGGTACCGGTTGTTCCTTTCCATGTTTAGTGCTTCCTTCAGGAGCTCTTGTAAGGCAGGCCTGGTGGTGACAAAATCTCTCAGCATTTGCTTGTCTGTAAAGGATTTTATTTCTCCTTCACTTATGAAGCTTAGTTTGGCTGGATATGAAATTCTGGGTTGAAAATTCTTTTCTTTAAAAATGTTGAATATTGGCCCCCACTCTATTCTGGCTTGTAGGGTTCCTGCCGAGAGATCAGCTGCTAGTCTGATGGGCTTCCCTTTGTGGGTAACCTGACCTTTCTCTCTGGCTGCCCTTAACATTTCTTCCTTCATTTAAACTTTGGTGAAGCTGACAATTATGTGTCTTGGGGTTGCTCTTCTCGAGGAGTATCTTGATGGTGTTCTCTGTATTTCCTGAATTTGAATGTTGGCCTGCCTTGCTAGGTTAGGGAAGTTCTCCTGGATAATATCATGAAGAGTGTTTTCCAGCTTGGTTGCATTCTCCCTGTCACTTTCAGGTACACCAATCAAACGTAGATTTGGTCTTTTCACATAGTCCCATATTTCTTGGAGGCTTTGTTCATTTCTTTTTATTCTTTTTTCTCCAAACTTCTCTTCTCACTTCATTTCATTCATTTGATCTTCAAACACTGATACCCTTTCTTCCACTTGGTCAAATCGGCTACTGAAGCTTGTGCATGCATCACGTAGTTCTTGCGCCTTGGTTTTCAGCTCCATCAGGTCATTTAAGGTCTTCTCTACACTGCTTATTCTAGTTAGCCATTTGTCTAATCTTTTTTCAAGGTTTTCAGCTTTCTTGTGATGGGTTTGAACTTCCTCCTTTAGCTCAGAGAAGTTTGTTATTACCGACTTTCTGAAGCCTACTTCTGTCAACTCATCAAAGTCATTCTCTGTCCAGCTTTGTTTCATTGCTGGTGAGGAGCTGTTATCCTTTGAAGGAGAAGGGGCACTCTGGTTTTTAGAATTTTCAGCTTTTCTGTTCTGGTTTCTCCCCATCTTTGTGGTTTTATCTACCTTTGGTCTTTGATGATGGTGACCTACAGATGGGGTTTTGGTGTGGATTTCCTTTTTGTTCATGTTGATGCTATTCCTTTCTGTTTGTTAGTTTTCCTTCTAACCATCAGGTCCCTCAGCTGCAGGTCTGTTGGAGTTTGCTGGAGGTCCACTCCAGACCCTGTTTGCCTGGGTATCACCATAGGAGGCTGCAGAACAGCAAATATTGCAGAACAGCAAACATTGCTGCCTGATCCTTCCTCTGGAAGCTTCGTCTCAGAGGGGAACCCAGCTATGTGAGGTGTCAGCTGGCCCCCACTGGGAGGTGCCTCCAAGTTAGGCTACACGGGGGTCAGGACTTGAGGAGGCAGTCTGTCCATTCTTAGAGCTCAAACACCATGCTGGAAGAACCACTGCTCTCTTCAGAGCTGTCAGACAGGGACGTTTAAGTCTGCAGAAGATTCTGCTGCCTTTTGTTCAGCTATGCCCTGCCCCCAGAGGTGGAGTCTATAGAGGCAGGTGGGCCTCGTTGGGCTCCACCCAGTTTAAGCTTCCCAGCTGCTTTGTTTACCTACTCAAAGCTCAGCAATGGTGGATGCCCCTCCTCCAGCCAGGCTTGCCACCTTACAGTTTGATATCAGACTAGCAGTGAGCACAGCTCCATGGGCATGGAACCTGCTGAGCCAGACACGGGATATAACTTCCTGGTGTGCCGTTTGCTAAGATGGTTGGAAAAGTGCAGTGTTTAGCTGGCAATGTTCTGATTTTCCAGGTACAGTCTGTCACAGCTTCCCTTGGCTGTGACAAGGGAAAGGGAAATCCCCCGACCCCTTGCACTTCTCGGGTGAGGCAATGTCCTGCCCTGCTTCGGCTCACCCTCCATGGGCTGCACCCACTGTCCAACCAGTCCCAATGAGATGAACCAGGTACCTCAGTTGGAAATGTAGGAATCACCCAATTTCTGCATTGATCACGCTGGAAGCTGCAGACTGGAGCTGTTCCTATTCAGCCATCTTGGAATGGACCCTCGCAGCTAAAAGATTTCTACAAGAAGAACTACAAAACGCTGCTGAAGGAAATCATAGATGACACAAACAAATGCAAACACATTCCCTGCTCATGGACTGGAAGAATCAATATTGTTAAAATGGCCATATTGCCCAAAGCAGTCTACAGGTTCAGTACTATTACTATCAAATTACCAACATCATTTTCATGTAATTGGAAAGAACTATTTTAAAATTCATATGCAATGAAAAAAGAACCCAAATAGCCCAAACAATCCTAAACAAAAAGGACACAGGGGGAGGCATCACATTACCTGACTTCAAACTATATATAATGCTACAGTAACGAAAATGGCACAGTACTAGTAAATAAATAGACACATAGACCAATGGAACAGAATAGAAAACTCAAAAGTAAAGCTGCATACCTACCACCATCTCATATTTGACAAAATGGACAAAAACAAGCAATGGGGGAATGGACTTCCTATTTAATAAATGGTGCTGGGATAACTGGCTGTCCATATGCACAAGAATGAAACTGGACCCCTACCTATCACCATATACAAAATCAACTCAAGATGGATTAAACATTTAAATGTAAGACTTCAAACTATAAGAATCCTAGAAGAAAACTTAGGAAACACCATTCTGGACACAGGCCTTGATAAAGAGTGTATGACTAAGTCCTCAAAAGTAATTGCAACAAGAGCCAAAATTGACAAGTGGGATCTAATTAAACTAAAGAACTACACAGCAACAGGAACTATCAAAGGAGTAAACAGACAACCTATAGAATGGGAGAAAATGTTCACAGATAATGCATCCAGCAAAGATCTAATATCCAGAATCTGTAAGGAAATTAAACAATTCAACAACCAAAAAACAAATAACATCATTACAAAATAGGCAAAAGACATAAACACACACTTCTCAAAAGAAGACATATAGGCAGCCGAGAAGCATACAAAAATGCTAATTATTAATCACTAGAGAAATGCAAATCAAAACCACAATGAGATACCATCTTACAGTAGTCAGAATGCCTATTAGTAAAAAGTCAAAAAACAACAGATGTTGGTGAGGCTGTGGAGAAAAGGAGCTACGTATACACTATTTGTGGGAATGTAAATTAGTTCAGGCACTGAACCACTGTGGAATTTGGAGATTTTTTCAAAGAACTTAAAATAGAGCTACCATTCAACCCAGCAATCTCATTACTGGGTTCATATCCAAAAGAAAATGAATCATTCTACCAAAAAAATATGTACTCACATGTTCATCATAGTACTTTCCATAAAACCAATGTCATGGAATCAAGCTAGGTGCCCATCGATGCTGGACTGAATAAAGAAAATATGGTACATATTCACTATGGAATACTACACAGCCATAAAAAAGAACAAAATCGTGTCCTTTGCAGCAATGTGGATGGAGCTGGAAATCATTATCCTAAACAATTAATGGCGGAACAGAAAACCAAATACTGCATGTTCTAACTTATAAATGTGAGCTAAACATTAGGTACTTATGTACATAAAGATGACAACAACAGATACTATAAACTACTCAAGGCGGAGGGTGAGAAGGTTCAAGGGTTGAAAAAGTAACTTTTGGGTACTATGCTCACTACCTGGGTGACAGGACCATTTATACCCCATACCTCAGCATCACGCAATATACCCAGGTAATAAACTTGCACACATACCCCCTGAATCTAAAATAAAAGTCAAAAAAGAAAAAAAATTCCTAACTTGTAGGGTCATGTTTTCAAGTTTAAATGAGATAATTTAAGTAGAAATCCTTTTATAATTGCTATTAAGACCCACCTAAGTAAATATCTGATACCCTTTAAAATAATCTTTAAAAAGCATAATGACATTAATATCTCTCATGTGTAATTGTAGTCAAATGTTTTACTTTCCCTCATGTTAAAACCTCCACAATACATTGCTATTATTTTTGCTTTAAACAATGTCTTTTAATTATGAAAAATTATACTTTCATATTTAATGACAAAAAACCTACCAACCAAAACAAACAGTAATGTTTTGAAAAATATATATATTTTTTAGCATTAGATCTCAACAGCAGGCTTAAAATGTTCAATAAACCATTGGATAAATAGATATGCTGTCACCCAGGCTTAGTTATTTCATTTATAGAGGACATGCAGAGTAAATTTAGCAAAATTCTTTAGAATTTTTAAGAGCCCTATGCTTTTTTGAATGGGAAATGAGCGTTGGCTTCAGTTTAAGGTCATCAGCTGTATTAGCATCTAATAAGAGTATCGGCCTATTTTTTGTAGCTCTGAAGCGAGACACTGACATCCCCTCTTAGTTATAAATGTCCTAGTTGGTGTCTTCTTTCAACCGAAAGCTGTTTCATCTGCATTAAAAATGTGTTGTTTAGTGTAGTTATCTTCATCAATTATCTTAGATCTTCTGGATAACTTGCTGCAGCTTCTACATCAGCACTTACTGCTTTACCTTGCACTTTTATGATATGGAGATGGCTTCTTTCCTTTAACCTCATACTATGTTATCTTCACCCCTTTTCTTCTGCAGCTTCCTCACCCATCTCAATCCACACAGAATTGAAATTTGAAATAATATATATAATACACACATATATATATATTCCAAACCCGATGAGAGGCCATAAAAATGTTACCATTTAGTAAATAGGTAAATTTAAAACTTTAGTCCTAGAAAAGAAAAAGCTATAAACATAGACTTGATCTATATATTTTTTAAATTGTTTGTATTTCCTTTGGATAGTATCAATATTATTTTCAATGAAGATGACTCAAGTCTGAATTTTAATGGCATGGAACTAGTGGGGCCCCACAGCAGAGACAATGACTAAGAAATTTGGGGGTGAAAAGTAGCCCATGACTTGATGAATCAGGGTCACCGACACTTTTCTAGACAATGTACCAGACTGGAAAGTAATGCACCCCATGAGAGAGGATAAAAGTTCTTAAATCTGTTCCAGAAGCAAAGAGATAGTTTTGAGTAGAACATGGTGGTATGTAATTTAAAGAATCTTCCAGGTGAGTTATTTGAGAAATTTCTACCAGGTTCTTAGAATTCAGAAGTTAATATTAAACTAAAAGGACAATGAAATGAAATCAACAAATCCCTAGAGATGTTGAAGAAGACAAAGAATTAAGGCAATGGAAAGCCCTCCCAAGCATTATTAAGAATTCACCAACTATGTATTTATAT
This sequence comes from Homo sapiens, assembly GCF_000001405.40. Lineage (NCBI taxonomy): Eukaryota > Metazoa > Chordata > Mammalia > Primates > Hominidae > Homo > Homo sapiens. The sequence goes on along the minus strand of NC_000013.11, from coordinate 80,513,648 downwards.
ATTGTGAAGGCATCATATGAGATTTTTTAAAAAGACATAATTTTTCAGGGACATGCTATTAACATGAGAAGTTTTGTTCATATTAAACAAGAGAAAAAATTTAAATTTTTTATGTGGTCCAAAATATTAATTTTATAATCAGGAACTCACTGGAGGCATTGTTCAAATTTACCTTATTGAACTAAGGGCTATGCGTGCACTTCCACAGACACTAGCAAGTGAAAGATGAATATTTACTGTTCATCTACTGGATGCCAAGCATAGAGAATGCAGTGGTATAAAGTAAAAAGAACAAGATATGGCTCATGCTCATTTGGAGTTTAAAGTCTAAAGAAGAAGATAAGTATACACAATTGATGACAATGATGATTGCCTAATGAAGTATATTGTGCTGAGAGTATATAATTGATCCTATCTATTCATAAGGTGATAAATGGAGTCAAGGAATTATCCCCAAAGAATATATAAGTTAAAATGTAAAGAATTAATATGAGTTAGCTGGATGAAGGAGTGGATGGAGGAGTGTAGAAAATTATTTCCACAAAGAGGAAAGAGAATGCATGAAGGTTCCTGAGGCAGACAAGAGAAAAATACTGGAAGATGGCCAGAGATCATAGCTCAAAAGAGAACATTACAAGAGATGAGGTTCCTGAGGTAGGCAGGTCCCAATCTCTACAGAACCTTATGGATAACATTAAAGATTTTGGACCTACCTTAAGAACAATTAGGAGTCATTGGAAGAGGTTTAACTAGAAAAAGAATATAATGATCTCTCTACTATTATAAAGTTACTTTGACTATTGTATGAAGAATCATCAGAGGAAATCAGTGGTGGATGTAGGGAAACCAAAGAGGATTTTACAACATCCACATGAGAAACGGTGGCTCTGTTAGGGTGATGGTGCTTGGGATGGAGAGAAGATTCAAGAGATTCCCAAGAAGGTATAATGAACAGGACTAGATATGTGGACATAAAAGAGAAAGAAAGTGATGTCCAGAATGCACAGATATATGGCACAGACATATGAAAAATCTGTCAGAGCTTTTACTAAGTATCATGGGCACCTGATGCATAATGTTTTATTAATCCTAAATTTCTCAAAATTGTGTCATGTATGACAAGTTGTCATTTACAACAACTCATCCCACAGTGAAACTGTTGACCCCTCAAAGTGATAAGCATATGTACAGTGGACTGACGTGATAACACCTACTGTGGCCAGGCACCCCTGAGACCTGAAAAGAAAGTGAAGACAAGAGGCAGAGTATATAATGACCATGGATATTTCTGCAGAGGGACATAAACACAGCAAAGAAACTGACCACAATCAAGACACCTGCAGAAGCTCTGTCTTGGAACTCCATTGGCAGTGGACATTGGCAGTGGCCCAAGGAAGCTCTGCCTGGGGAAGAGCAGTGACTTCCACCCCAATCTCTGGTTGATGTTTGGAGGGAAATCCAGATTGCCCAGGTTCTAAGCTATTCGTTATCATTAGTTTTCTCTCTCTTATTACTGCCTGTGTGTGTCAAATATATTCGCATGTTTGTTGGTTGGTGAAAAACCTTGCAATAAACCTTGAATTCAAATGAATTTAATTGACCATTGAATCATTGTGAAACCTCCTGGCCCCCAGGTTGGAGTTAGCACAACTAGGTTGAGCTGACATAATAGTACCTGAGTTTGGACACTTCCAGTTAGGAAAACTTGTCAATATAATATGTGTGAAGATATTTTGGGGTGTATAAAAACTCGGCCAGGTGCAGTGGTTCACACCTTTAATCCCAGCACTTTTGGTAGCTGAGGCAGGTGGATTGCTTGAGGCCAGGAGTTCAAGACCAGCCTGGGCAACATGGCAAAACCCCGTCTCTACTAAAAAAAAAAAAAAATACAAAAACTAGCTAGGCATGGTGGTGCATGCCTGTAATCCCAGCTTCTTGGGAGGCTGAGGCACGAGAATCACTTGAACTTGGGAGGCCAGAGGTTGTAGTGAGCCAAGATCAAGTCACTGCCCTCCAGCCTAGACAGCAGAGCGAGACTCTGTCTCAAAAGAACAAACAAACAGACCAAAAACAAAACAAACAAACAAAAACCTAATAGAAGTGGGTATAAGGAGCATGATTATTTCCTTCAAAATAAATCCTAAGGGAACACTCAGAATACTTTTCAGTCATCAAGAAAATGTAGGAGGTGGTCAAGGAGTTGGTCAAACCCCACCAAAACCAAGATGACAACAAAAATGACCTCTGGTCAGCCTCATTGATCATTATTCACTGATTATAAGACATTAGCAATCTAAAAGACACTCCCACCAGTGCCCTGGCAGTTTACAAATGCCATGGCAACATCAGGAAGTTACTCTATATGGTCTAAAAAGGAGAGGAATCCTCAGTTCCAGAAATTGCTTACCCCTTTCCCAGAAAACTCATGAATAATCCAATCCTTGCTTAGCATATAATCAAGAAATAACGATAAGTATATTCAGTCGAGCAGCCCATGCCACTGCTCTGCCTATGGAGTAGCCATTCTTTTATTCCTTTACTTTCTTAATTAACTTGCTGTCACTTAAATATATATCCTGTAGATGATCTCCAATCTCCAAGTATTCTGAGAAGCTTTACAGCAAAATTCGTCCTTGAGAGAAGCTTGTGATTTTTACTTAAAAGCACTGGTATTAGTTGCTCTCTAGAAATGCTAGAAAAAAAAAAAAAAAAGAGCTATGAGCCAAAGTAGGAAGGGAAGAATCCTAAAAATGCCAGAAAACTCAGGCCAAGGGTATTTGTTTTACAGCCTCTTGCTAACTATTTCTGGAGAAGAAGCTGCTGTCCATAAAAGCTCCCCAAAGATGCTGTCCATTATCTGCCTATAGAGTTGGAATTCCAGAAATTCTAAACCAATGTTCAAAGCAACGAAAAACAATTTGATCTAATTTCCTGAGGTTTAGTGACAGAATATCCAAAGAAATAGAGCAAAAGTGCAATATGGTGCAAGCATCTATTCGATTTAGCCCATGTAAAAAATGTCTCTTTCAAACATGTATACATATATATGTCTCAGTCACACACACACACCCCCCACATGTACACACACACACACAGAGATGGAGAGAAATGTTGCTAGAATACATGTCTGTAGTACCTCTGAGCTTCTTTCCCTTGTTATATAATCTCCCTATGCCCTGCCTCCCCCACACAACCAAATATCTTTTTAGTTGGATGATGTTTTTTTCTAGATTCCTCCAAAGAGATACATTTTTCAAAAGAGTTCTTAAGCCTCTAGGAGTTATCCTTTGTCCTATAGTTAATCTCTTAATAAGACCAATTTAAGTGTAATATAAATGGTAATTCATAGCATTCTACTTACTGCACAGTTCTGAACTTGCTCAGAGATTGCCTATGAGCAGACTGGTCTTACCCATAGGCAGAGTTGGTTAGGAGACACTTGGTGTGTGTTTTGGAACCATAGAGAAGACTCAGGTTTTTGACCTTGTTAAATGTTCCGGAAAGAGGTGTTTAAGACCTTGTCAGCCCATTAAAGAGGCTACTGTATACGAGAACTACATTAGGCATAGTACCTATTCTTAAAATCCATCAAGGGGTGCAGGACTCAAAAGTGGGTAAAATGCATAGCAATAACAGTGCTATATTTGCAAAATCAGTGTAGAACAGGACAAACAGGATGACTGACACTTGCCAGGGTAAGTTAGAATGTCACCTGTGAGCAAGGCGTATTACAAGGTAAAAAGCACAGTATTATCCCATTTTAATTTCTTGGATTGTATGGCTATTTTCCTTTTTCTCAGATTCTCACCACCATTATTGTTTTAATTTCATTTGCCACTGTTGAGGGTCAAATGAGCTTACCTTTGGAATGAGCTTACATTCCATTTGTTGTAAATGAAGGATTTGCAAGTGGCCTTATTCCATATTTTCTTAAGGATTTAAGGTGTCACTAGCTTTCAACTTGCTCTACTAAAGAATTACTTGCCAGGATCCTACCTGATGCCAATTTTCATTCAATCTCCATAAATGTTTATTAATAAAATAGTGCACAAATCCCTCTTTAAGTACCGAACATGCCAAAGGATGTATTTGTTTTTCGGCTTCTTTATGCCCATATTTAAACATATTACGTAAATATGTCCACACCTAAATGTGTCCCATCTTGTTGATCCGTTTTAAAAATTCACACCCTGTCTTGTATTAATGCAATCCAACCATGAAAGTAATTTGTTCATGAGTCACAACCTTACAAACATTAAAGTAATTGTAAAACCATCTCCTGTTAGTTTGCAATTAGGGTATTAAGTTCGGTATCATGCTGTATTAGATTTTAGGAAAAAATGCCATAAAGGGTTTTATTGCTTAATACTCTATAACATTTCATCATAAACACTTATAAAGACAAAGCTAAATGTATATCCATTTCAACACCTACAAAAATAATCAGTTTTCTGGGCATATCATGGTAGATGGTGCTGGGTTTTTTGTAAAGAATACTTATGGAACATGTAAACTAAACAGGTAACTATAGGCATGCTACAATATGGTGAGATGGCCTGTTGATTTAATTAAAGTAATACTTTTAATGCTTCATCTTTAGTATCAGAAAAAAATTACTGTTGTGTAACTATGATTTTCCATCAAATATGCTTTAGTGTTCATCAACACTCTTCATATATAGAGATATAAACAGTGATTCAGAGAATATGCAATTCAAGTGCAAAAAGATTGCAAAGACAAATACACCATGATTCACTAAGATATGAGGATATCCCTCTACTTCACAGATTAGAAAGGCCATGAACTGGATTTTTCCCAGAAATATATATATTAGGCAAAGTTCTAACAAGGTGTATGTCATCAGCCAAAACTCTCCTGATAAAGCAGGTCTCAAGCCAACTGGCAAGAATCTCTTGGTAGCAGAAGCTATTTCTTCTCCTGTGCCTATTATCTCACTTAATGACCCCTCCTTCTCACTCCCTCTGCATTAAATATCCTTAATGTCTGTTGAAGCTCTTCCTCCTCTGCAACATCACTAAAACCTCCTAAATTGACCTTATTTACATTTTTAATCATGTATTGAAATATATCCTAACTGATCTACTAGCCTCCAGTTTCTTTTCAATTCATTCACAACATATTCAAACACAAATCTAATCATGTCACTTCTTAAAATATTCGAATGATCTCTTTAAAAACTCCATGACTTCAAGTAACATTCATATTTTTATATCAAAGAGACTTCAAATTGCACTTTTTTGAAGCTCGTTGTTCACTATCACACCCATTTTGTGCCTACATGCAGTCACCCTCTCCTCCAACTTCTCTAACCATCCTGTGCTCCCTTATTTGTGGCCTTTTGCTGAGCATGCCATTCAAGTTAGCTCAAACATCTCCTGTTTCCTGAAGAGTTGTCATAAAGCATGCATTTCAGAAATCTGGGATGTGTTGAAATGCTTGCTCTGTAGAGTTAACTGGTGTTTAGAAGTTCTGAGATCAAATTTTAATTATCTTGCTAGCTGTGTGAGCCAGAAAAAGCTGGTCAATTCCCACATGTAACAAGCAACCACATCCATCCTTACTAAGTGGCTGCTGCTACCAAGTCAGAGAACAAACAACCTATGTCTGAGTGCCCATAGTCCCTCATATTCTGGCTGAAGCTTTCTAGCTTGTTATATTTCAGGGCTTTGCCCATGATTTGACACCTTCTTGCCATCAATGGACTACGCTTCACTCTGCTCCCTTGTAGCCATTTGTATACATACAAACTATCTCCAGTACTTTTTGCCTTCTGCCTTTGTTTGGCCAGAAAGTCCAATCTCTGAACTTGGTTTGATCTTTAGATAGATAGTTAGATAGATGATAGATAGATAGATAGATAGACAGATAGATAGATAGATAGATATACATAGGCATTCCCCTACCTATTCCTGGCCTACACTCTCCTTCTGTCTCTTCACCATAGAATGCATAACCTATTCTATCTGAGTCACATAATAGTGATAATTACCATTTATAGTACACTGATGTGTACCAGGCAGAGCACAAGACACTTCATACACACAGTGTTATTTAATTTTCTGCATAGTTCCAGAAGTAAGTGTTATTAGTACCACTTTAAAGTGGAGGAAGTGTGGCAGAGACGCAATAAAGAAAGAAAACTTCAGACCAATAACTCTGATGAATATAGACACAAAAATCCTCAACAAAATATAGCAAACTGAATTCAGCAGCATATCAAAAAACTAATTCGCCATGGTCAAGTAGGTTTTATTCCTGGGATGAGAGGTTGATTCCACATATGCAAATCAATAAATGTGATTCTCCACATAAATAGAATTAAAAACAAAAACCACATGATTACCTCAATAGATATCAATAGATATGGATAAGCTTCTGATAAAATTAACAATCTCTTCATGTTAAAAATCCTCATCAAAAATAGTCATGGAAAGAACATACCTCAAAATAATAAGAGTCATCTACAGCAAACCCACAGACAACATCATATGGAATGGGCAAAAGCTGGAAACATTTTCCTTGAGAAGTGGAATAAGACAAGGATGCCCACTCTCACCACTCCTAGTCAACATAGTACTGGAAGTCCCAGCAAGAGCAATCAGGCAAGAGAAAGAAATAAAAAGCATCCAATAGGAAAAGAAGTTAAACTATCCCTCTGCACAGATAATGTAATTCATACCTATAAAACCCTAAAGACTCCACGAAAAGTCTTCTGGAACTGATAAATGACTTCAGCAAAGTTTCAGGATACAAAATCAATGTACAAAAAATAGTAGCATTTCTATACATGAATAATGTTCAAGCTGAGAGTCAAATCAAGAACACAATCTCATTTATAATAGCCACAAAAAGAATAAAATACCCAGGTACACAGTTAACCAAGGAAGTAGAATTATATAACACTGCTGAAAGAAATCATAGATGACACAAACAAGTGTAGAAACATTCTATGCTCATGGACAGGAAGAGTCAATATTGTTAGAATGGCCATACTGCCCAAATAAATTTACAGATTTAATGCTATTCTCAACAAATTCCAATGCCATTTTCTACAGATTTACAAAATTTATAAAATTCAAGCAGAACCAAATAAGAATCCAAATAGCCAAAGCAAATATTAAGCAAAAAGAAAACAAGGCCAGAGGCATAACATTACCTGACTTCAAACGATACTACAAGCCTATCATAACTAAAACAGCATGGTACTAGTAGAAAAACAGACACATAGACCAATGGAACAGAATGGAGAATGCAGAAATAAAGCCATGCACCTACAACCAACTGATCTTCGACAAACGAAAATAAGCAATAGGAAAAAGACTCCCTATTCAATGAATGATGCTAGGATAACTGGCTATCCATATATAGAAGAATGAAACTAGACCCTTACCTATCATCATATACAAAAATTATCTCAAGATGAATTAAAGACTTAAATGTTAGACCTCAAACTATAAAAATCCTAAAAGGAAATAACCTTCTCAATATTGGCCTTGGCAAATAATTTATGGCTAACTCCTCAAAAGCAACTGTAACTAAAACAAAAATGGACAAGTGGGATCTAATTAAATTCTGAAGAGGTTTTGCACAGCAAGAGACACTATCAAAGGAGTAAACAGACAACCTACAGAATGGGGGGAAATATTCACAAACAATGCATCTGACAAAGTTCTAATATTCAGAATCTATAAAAAACAATTCAACAAGCAAAAACCAGATAACCCTATTAAAACATGGGCAAAGGACATGAACAGACGCTTCTCAAAAGAAGACACACAAGCAGCCAACAAACGTGAAAAAATGCTCATCATCACTAATTATCAGAGAAATGCAAATCAAACCTCAGTGAGATACCACCTCATCATTGGTCAGTATGGTCTTTGTTAAAAAGTCAAAAAAACAGATGCTGCAGCAACACTTATACACTGCTAGTGGGAATGCAGATTAGTCCAGATACTGTTGAGAACAGTTTGAATATTTCTCAAAGAACTAAGAGTTGAGCTACTATTTAAGCCAGCACTTCTACTACTGGGTATATACCCAAAGGAAAATAAGTCATTCTACCATAAAGACATGCACACATATATTCATTGCAGCAGTATTCACAATAGCAAAGACATGGAATCAACCCAGGTACTCATCAGCTCTGTATTAGTCAAAGAAAACGTGGTACACATATACCATAGAATACTATGCAGGCATAAAAAAAAAAAAAAACAACATCTTATCCTTTGCAGCAACATAGATGCAGCTGGAAGACATTATCCCAAGAGAGTTAATGCAGGAACAGAAAATCAAATACCACATGTTCGCACTTATAAGTAGGAGGGAAACATCAAGGACATATGGACACAAAGATGAAAACAATAGACACTAGGGAATACAAGAAGAGGGTAATGGCTGAAAAACTACCATTGGGTGACTAGGCTCACTACCTTGGAGACTGATTCATTCATTCTTCAAATCTCAGCATTACACAATATATTTTCGTAACAAACATGCACATGTACTCCCTAAATAAATTTTTTAAATGAAAATAATAATTGAAGGCTGCGTCAAAAAAAGTTGATGAAATGGAAGAAGAGAGGTTGAGAACTTGTCAAAAGATGACTCATAGCACAACATTGCTGCACATATACACATAACATGACAAGTTAGCAAAAAAAATGGCAGAATAGAAAATTGTGTGTGTCCTTGCCGTGGTAAGGGAGGAGTGGTCAAGAAAGATAAAGAAAAAATTTGACTGCAAAAGAGCACAACTCAGAGGAATTAATAGTGCATAGCCCTCCACTCAGTATCTGACATAACCCATCTGACCCAAAATAGCTCACCTACTTACAACTTACAACCATATCTCTGGATCCTGACTTCAAGCCTAAAAGACTCAAATTCTCATGACTACCGCTCCCGCTGTCCAAGGCTAAAAATGTGTGTTACATAGAGGAAAGGCCAGGTTTGGCAATTATAAGTGGTAGAGTCCAAAGAAGTTAGAGCCTGGGGAGACAGGAAATGGAAATCAAGAGTATTCCCAATGGGCATTAGAGTGAAAGAATGTTGTAAGAAATAATTTTGACCAGAACTTTTTAAAGGGACAACGTCAAAATATGAACAGTACTCTGAGAAATGAAAAGGAAGTTAATTGCAGGAAGTTCTTTCGAAGTTTGAAATGAAAACAATAATTGGACTAACTAGAACTATCTCCTTCAAGATTAGGGCATTAAGTTTCCATTCTTCTTCCAGCCAACCTGTGAATTTTTTACATGACAGAGGAACTATTTTTCATTTTGTGGTCTTTTGAAGTTTTGCCATTTTCGTTTATTGGTTTAAGGGGCCATTTGTGTGGACCAATCCAGTCAGGGAATTCCAGCCCCCGCAGAATACCTGCCAATGGCCACCTCCAGATGGCAGGGGAGGAGGTACTCTTGAAGACAGGTGGAGACTCCCACTCTTAATAAACATCGTTTGATTGCTCTCTGTCCTGTTATCTTCTGCCAAGGAATCAAAGGCTTCTGAAATTTTATTCTTTGGTGCCTCAAAGCTATATTTCTAAGACATTGATACAAAGTGACTCTGAACTACCTATACCATCGTTCTTGACAGCAGATTCGATCCTCCCTCCCACCCTACTGCCATGACCTTCTTCATGTCTCCTTAAATTCCATCTTTGTAAGACACAAAGAAAGGTTCTTAAAATGTGTTAATGGCTGGAATAAACCACACAACTTTAGCTTGTGAGGCAGATTGGGCTGGTGCCTCCATCTCAGTTAGATTGCTTTCTTGCCTCATGCAGATTTGGAGGTATTTCTGCTGCCTTGGAAGAGATAAGAAGCAGTGACACCCCCTGGCTCAGTTTCATTCTCCTTACAAGTTCAACAAACTGTGTGTGTAGAAGGCAAAGTTAGCACTGTCTCCTTTCTTTTCTGAAATATGTGGGAAAGAATGGTTGCACCTTATACACTGCCTCTCGTGAAACATAGAAGGAGACTCAAAGGAGTCAACACTTATTTCTAGAACAGGCAAGTTGTGCCTTGGGCCTAGAATACGCTGATGAGAAAAGAAAGAAAAGGGAGACCACATCTATAACACAGTTTCTTGTCACTGCCGCTCCCTGTTCTTACTTGTCTTGCATTTGCCTGTATTTATCACAGTTTTTGTTGAACAGCTTTTTTAAGTATTGGGGGAGCTTATCTTGCCATCTTCCCCTAGTTCTCTGTATCTATCTTTCCCACTGAATTTCCTTCATGTTCTAGGACTTTAAGAGAAGGGAAGAGGGGTCTTGGATTTTGTTTGTTCTCCTTAGCAGCAGAAGTTGTTATTTTTATTTTAGAAAAAGTAAAAGGTAAATAAACAAAAAGAAAGTCTAAAGAAAGCTCTGTGTTCTGCAAAATTATCTCTACAATAACAGCTATGATTTAATGAATATCTACCTTATGCAAGATGCTCTACACTCGTGATTCCGTAAACCTTACAACAATCTTACAAATGGGTAATATTAACTGTTTCATATGTAATGAAATCAAGGTTGCAAAAAATGGAATAATCTGCTTTATTAGTCAAGACTTCCCAGAGAAAAGGAACCAATGGGATATACAGAGAGAGAGAGATTATAGGAAATCTGTTCATATAATTATGTAATTATGGAAGTTGGAAGTGTTATGTTGGAAGTCGTGATTATGTGTTTATGGAAGGATTACAAGTCCCAAGATCTGCAGTTGACATGCTGGAGACCCAGAAGAGCTGATGGTGTACTTCTCATCTGAGTTAGAAGGTCTGAGAACCAGGAAACCCAACGGTATACTTCCAGTCCAAAGTCTAGCAGGCTGAAGATGTTAGAATAACCAATGTTTCCATTTAAATCTACAGGCAGGAAAAACTTGATGTGCCAACTCTACATCAATCAATCAGAAGAAAACCCCTCTTAATTAGGGAGGGTCAGCCTTTTTGTTCTATTCAAACCTTCAGATAAGGCCCACTCACACTATGGAAGACAAGCTGCTTTACTAAATCTGCCAATTTAAATGTTAAGCTCATCTCAAAACACCTTCACAGAAACCCCAGAATAATGTGTGAGCTAATATCTGGACACCACAAGGCCAAGTCAAGTTGTCACATAAATTAACTATCACACTTGCTTAAAGCTATCTAATTTATGAGTGCCAGAGAAGAGATTTCAACCCAGGTCTGTCCTCAAATGCCCATGGTTACTCCTCTCTGCCACAAACATGGGGCCACAAGACTTGCCTAGAATGTATGATTTTACTTGAAGCTTGTGCCAAGATCGCAGAAAAATTCACTGATAATTGATTTTATATATATATTATATATTACATACATGTATCCTACATACCTACACATATATAGGTACACAAACAATTTCAAAATATTAGGTAGATAGGTAAACCCATTTAATTTTTGTTATTGAACCAAATTAGGTATGCTGGAGCTGGAGCACTGCAGAAAGGAAGAAAGTACTTGCCACTGAAGATACTGTGGAAATAGGGAGAAGAAAGCCACCTGGATTTCTTTTTTCAGTAATGTAGAAGTTTATTCAATGATGACCAAGCCCACAACGTCAAATACATCACTTGTCAATTTGATTATATTCAAATATAGAACAAAAATTAGTTCAAAGAAGGTTTCTCCCCTGTACTTGCAAAAGTATCTTTTTGCAATAACTCAAGAGGGAGAATTAGATTTGTGTTGCTGTTGTTAAAATGAGGAATTCAGTCCCTAAAATAGGGAAGATCAGTAATTGTATTCTATCCAGACAGTTTAATGATGTTTTAGGAATCAAACATCAGGAATATATTAAGGAATTATAGCTGACTAAAATTATAAATTGATTCTGTTTTGTTCCCATGGTTTCATGTGACATCATGATCCTTTTTTTTTTTTTTCACAACTTTTATTTTAGGTTGGGCGTACATGTGCTGGTTTGTTACAAGAGTAAACTGCATGTTGCAGGGTTCTGGTGTACAAATGATTTTGTCACCCAGGTTGTGAGCATAGTACCCAGTATTTTTTCAATCCTCACGCTCTCCTCTCACCCTCCGCCCTCAAGTAGGTCCTGGTGTCAGTTGTTCCCCTCTTTGTGTCCATGTGTACTCAATGACATTATGTGCTTACAAAAGTGGAAGCATATTGCCCAAAATGTGCAGGATATGTCTGCATATGTAGAAATTATAATTCCTTGTTAAGGAAAGATAGTTACACATAAGTGCTATTCCTAGAACCCACTACTATACCCATATGCTCTTTTATCAGTGCAGTTTTATTAACCAAGTATGTACTATTTTTAAACTTGTCTGAGACATAATGAACAAAGCAGAGGTCTTCTAATTCCATCTGAGTCCAAAGATAACCCTTCAAAATTTCTTTGGCATAAGATGATTCCAGGGGAAAAAGAGAATATTCTGATCACTGAAAGAATAAAAGTCCATCAAATTGAGAGCAATTTGATTCCTAAGATGATTGAGTGTCTGAACATTTATCATCAGTTGTGGTATGCTATTTATTAAAGAAAGAATCTTGGAGGGTTTGCACATCATCATGCTAACTTGGAAAAATTTACTAAGTCAAACGCTTGACCCAATGCAGTTGGGCTTCTTTCATCTTCTTTCGTCTTCTTCAGTATCGTGTGGGAAATAATACTTAAAATGGGAAGACCTGAAGACAAAATTTTATATCTTATTAAATATAAGCCTCCCTATTAAATATGGAGCCTACTGTTATGAACTGACATAAAGGTAAAATAAAGTTAGGGCTCAAGATCTCACAGCTCACCCTTTCATAGAATGGGAACCTACAGTGTGGATGAGACAACCTTGGACTAAAAGTTGGATCTGGATTCTAATGTCTGGACCTGGCTCTGGCATTATCTGTGACATTATCCAGGCCATTGTCCTCCGGTTTCTTTACAAATAATACCTAATTGATAAGTTACTTATAATTTAAAGTGCATACTATGATGACTCCATAGAAAATTACCAAGGAAGAGAATGGGCAAGAAAATCCCTGTAGTAATGACAGAACAAAACTGGGCACAAGTAAGCAAATTAGAATAAAATGTTGGTACTAAAGTTATGGATATAAGGAAGGTAAGAGGAATGAAATACGGAATGGAGTTTAAGGGAGAAAAACCCAGGGCATCTAAATTATTATAATTTAGATGGGAAAGAAGGAAGAATTAGAAACTCCTGAGAGGAGAAAAAATAATATATAAAAGGGGAAAGAGGAAAATGCAGTAATAAAAAAATCAAGAAAAAGAAAAATTTCCACTGGATGCTATCTGGTATCCACTGACTCCTCCAAAAGGCCTGGACAAGAAAAATCCTTCGAAAGACAATAATCAAAGTATTCTATTCTTTGACATGTTAGAGCATCTTTACTTCTTTCTCTCATTTGATATTGAAAAACAGATTACAGAACCTTAAAAAAACTGTAGATTTATAAAAAAGGAAAGATGCAAAGAAGTCAGCGACTGCCCATATAGGGACTAGGTTATGAAACTTTGACTGAAAAGACACTGGAAATATTTCCAAGACACATTTTTTCAATCACTCAAATGTCAGGGTTGTATGATGTAAGCTTTGGAAATAGCATACTGATTTATTTTCAAAGATTTATTTGGGGAAAAGAATCAGAAATGCAAGCTGCAATTTGTAATAACACTGTTAAATAAGTTAAAAATAAATATTGTGTAGATATTAGAAATAAAATATCTGGCAGAGACAACAGCTTTTTGTGTTGAAAATGTACTACAGTATTAGAGTTCACCCAATAGCTTAATGAGTTGATATGAAGTCAACACAAAACAATACCTAAACTAAGGAAGAGCTCAATAATGGGATGGCTAAAATAAGCCGTCCGCAGATGTGTGCTTGATCCTTTAACCACACAATTCTATTAAGAAAATAGATGAGTCAGTGAAAGGAATAGCAACTAGCAAGATCAGTTGAATACATAGCTGGTTGATGGACTTCTTTTCCAGGTTGTCTTCTTTGCTATAAAGATTTCTTTACTTGGAATCAAAAGAGATTGAAGATGGCGTTTCTGGGAAGAGGACCTTTTGGAATTTATAATTATATTAGTTGCTGGTAATGGTTTATAATTATCACCCTGGTCAGAAATGCCTTGTGCCCTCCATTGTATCAGTAAAAATGACCAATAACAATAATCTTCTAAAATGTTTATGGGAGTTTTGTTGAGTGATTTGGTTTAAAATGGGAAGAAGTATGCATTACCATGCTTTAATGCTCTGATTTAGATAAAGATCCTGCAAAAAGATAGAAATAATCCATTTGAAAAGGATGTAATATTCAGGCATGTTAACAACACAAAATGTAAAGAAATAGTTATGGAAAACTTGTAGGTAGAAATCTCCAAAACTGGGTAAATAAAAAAGAATTTAAAGTCTCTTATAAAGGCAGTTCCCTTCTTAGGGACTCATTTTATGCAAAAGTATCCAAGGGCGCTTTAGAGTAAACGTGGATATATATCCCAACTTCACCACTTTCTAGACTTTTGAAGGTTTATAGAGACCTGCTAAATTCTCTAAAAGCTCAATTTCCACATTTATGAAGTAAGAATAAGATTTTTATAGTGATATTTTGAAGATTAAGTGTTACATTTATCACACTGCAGTATAATTATGTGTCCTTGTGGGCTTTTTCATTCTTTCCTTCCATCAACAAACATTTCTTGAGAGTCTGTTTAAGTGAAAATTAGCTTTACCTCTCTCACTAGTCATGTGGCTTGGGTGAGTTATGTAACTTCTATGTCAATTTCATCTTCTGTAAATGTGGAATACAAATAGCACACATCTCTTGGGGTGCTGTAAGGTTAAAAAAGTTAATACAAGTAATATGTAACATATTAAGAAAAATAATACTTGGTATAAATTAGAAAATCAGTATACATTAGCTAGATTATTGTTGATGTTTTTCTCCTACTGCTCTTCTCCTCCTGTTTCTTTCTATCATCATCATCATCATCATCATCATCATCATCGTCATGTGTCAGGTATTCTACCAGACGTTATCCAATCAGAAGGTGATATTTTTCTGTTCAAACTATTATAATTATTGTAAACATGCTTACTGGATGCTATTAATAGTTTCCATGATTAGTCAGGACCTTTGGTTTGCAAGCGAAAGAAAGTCAGTTCAAACCATCTTCATTCAAAAAGAAAGATTTCTTTGGCAGTTGCAACCAAATAATAAAGAAGTGAGACTGATCTCAAAATATTGTGGATTCACAGACTCAAAGTTTTTCAGGACATTCCTTACTACCACTTTCATCTCTGCTTCATGTAGAGCATAGGTGCCATTATTTTCTCCTGCAGACAGCTTTCTCTGTGAGGCAGAAATCATGTATTGACAGTTCTGAGACTGAATCCTATGAGATCCAACCAAGATAACAAGGTATCTTACCATCCAGCTGCTTCTGGAAAAGCATATGGAAAAGACATTAATTGATGTCCTGTGTCACATATCCATCCTTGAGCCAATTACTGCAGCTGGGAGAGAACACATGCTAGTGGGACAGAGTATATGATAACAAAACTAAAGAGAAATGGAAAGCAGGGCCGATCCCTGGATATATCCAGCGCCTCGTTAATTTGGGTCACTGACAATTCTCTTCCCTATCCCTTCATTTGACTTTATGTCTTTAGTGGCAAGCACTGCTTGACATATAAAAAGGCACTCAATAAACATTTTTTGAAAAATGAATCTCTCAAGTGTAACAGCATTACAAGAATACAAAGAATAACACAATTTTTAATTTTTCTTTTTAACAAGCTTCTTTAAAAAGATCAACATATTTTCATGATGCTCAACTTTAAATTTTATTTAATAAATGTCATACTACTCATGTCCATCATGATAGCACACTCATAAATCTCAGGTTGTCTCTGGTTATTATCTATCACCATTGTAAATCTAAAAATTGTACCTGCTTATCTCCTCTGGACTGAGAATAACCAGCAATCAATTCTCATGTCCTTAGGCGAGTCTGGCCTGGATTATCTTAGTTTAGAATCACCTGGACAGACTTGGAGCCACATGGAAGCTTGGGAATAAAATATTCAGACCTTGGAGTTAAAGGCTTGGTGGTAGATTTATTGCATGAATGATCCCAGTTTAGAACTTTTTTGCAAGCTCTCCAAGCAAGAGAAAAGTAATCATTCCATGAATATGGACTAGTTTTTTGACTTGTTGTAGTAAGTTAAATATTTTAGAAGTCAATACTGTGCTAGTTTCTGAGCCTAGATTTCAAGAGGCCATGTGTATCTTCCTGTGCTCACGCTCCCTTCTCTACATTCACTGTGAGAACATGTCCAGTCTATTAGGCTAGAGGATAAGAGATTTGTGGCAGCTCTGTGGCCTAATCACTCCTGCTGATACCCAGACATGTGAGCAAGCCCAGTCATAATACAGAGAACTGCCCAGCTGAGGCAATACTAACCATTGATCTGCAGTCTTGGAAGCTAAGTAAATACTTTTTATTTTTATACTGCCTTATAGCGGCCATAGAAAGCTGATAAAGGGTTTCATTTAGGCCCTACTTAGATTATACCTGTATCAGTTTAGCTATCTCATCATTGATCACACTATAGCCAGTTAAGTTTTTATCCTTGCGAAGCTGCCTAAAATATCTGCCACAAGTATCGTGTGTTCTCCAGCTGGTCCTTCTGGTCCATTTGAGAATATGATGCTAAATATTGAAGCAAATGCTTTGCCACGAGCAGCCTTGTGTGCTCAGTGACTTGGCAGGCCCCTAACAAGCATTAAGCATGGAATGTCAAAGAATTCTTAGAAACTTGTCAACTTGACCAAACATGGGCAAAATCAAATTCATAACAACCAGAAACTAACAAAATAAGACCATGTGTAATTTTTAATAGTTGCATAAATCATCCCAGGCCTTGACTAAGAGCTGTATTTTTGAATAGATAATAATGGAAACTCTTTTACTTCAACATCTCACTGACCATTTTATGTTTCCAGATAGCACTGATATTTTTAAAATGAATGTTTCAAAATACATTTGGTCAAGAAGTCTCAGAACTCATACATAATTCTTTGTCTGCTTATCTATCATATCCAAGAAAAACACGTTTAAAACAAGATGCCAGGTTTTCTAATGAAAAGCAAGGTGAATCTTTAAGGTTCAAGGCTATATTTAGAATAAATAACAGAGTTCCCAAGATTACTCTCTGAAAGTGACTTTTAAACCCAGGGTACTAGAAAGAGAATATTGGCAGCCCTTCTCATATAAAGATGAATAAATGAAAAAGACAATCTGGCAATACAACGAAAACTTCTCTTCATCATTCTGGCAATTCTTCAAGATCTTCATTTCAGGGAGCAGATATCTGATTAGTTTAATCCTGAAATCACTCAACTGGTTATCCCATGATACATTTGCTACAAGAAGAGCTGTCCAGCAAGTTAATTTCAGGAAAGAGGTGCTTGGCCAGATCCAGATGAAACTGAGGTAGTATGATTAGGATCAGAATAATCCTTTATATTTCATTCCCCAACATGAACGTTTCTTTTTATGTCTTTACCCACATGCAATTAGCAGAAGAATTAGTTGATACCAATAGGCTGTAACCACCTAACCCTCTTTGCCCCATGCCTTCTCTTTCATACCATCTAATCTTATTCTTTAGGAAAAGTTTTTCTAGAAAGAATTCACACTAAGGTGCAAGTAACAGATATGCCTGAATTGATTACCTTCTCAAATGCATTTGTATTTTCATTTCAAACTAAAGGAATCTTTGATTTTGGCATTTCAGATAGCCATGAATCATCTTGGTAGAGATAATTCACACATTTGTCAATTAGACAATTCATATATTACGTTCACCTCTTTATACAACTGGCCTTGGAAGACTATATTAGAATGATAGGCCTCTGGCTGGGGTGGAAGTTCCACGGAAAGATGCCCCATGACAACTGATGGACACATGTCAGGAAACTGAGAGACACTGTCATTCTTTATTATCTCATCTTTGTATTTTTCTTCCATGTTATCTGTTTCTTCCAAAACTTGATCCATAAACTTTTACTCTTATGCCTCAAATTAGTCTGAATATGTGAGGTCTTTCATCTTTGACCTCAAAAAACATTTCAAGTTTCTGGCCTCATTGCCAACTATTTCCTTATATGATGCCTCTGTTTCCACAGACTTATTTGCTCCTAAGGTCATAAGTAACCCCAGAACTTTTTGTTACACATGCCCAGAATACTCAGTAGTTAGAGATCTTCCACCCTATAGAGTCAAATCTTTACTCTGTTTCTAAACGCCTCAGATTTTACCTCTTTATTTAAATTAATGGCAACTAAAATCATAGTACTTTAATGTCTATTTCACATTTACATTGATATTTAAAAATTGAAGTTTCCAATCTATGTATATTTTTACACAAAAAGTGTTAAAATTCAGCCATAATAGATGCCTGTTTCCCTATTCTAGCTGAAGAAAGCACATTCAGAATCAAATACTTAGACCGCCCAGTAAAAAGCACACCATTCCAGACCAATCTTGTCTGAAGTGGTCTGTCTCTCTAAATTCCTATACCAATTATTCTGTACACTTAATTTGAATTACAGTGAAATCTTTTGATATCTTTCCATACTCTCTTAAACAACTAACTGTTGTTTAGCTGCATATATACATTTTCCTATACATAACCAAGGGAGTGTTTATGTATTCTCTCTTTAAAGAGAAATTTACTTCTTTCCTTTTTGTTTATAATGTATGTACAAGTTGGAAAGTTGTTAAAGAATATAATAATTATAACTCATTATGGCTCTATTGATATGAAAATAAATATTTTTCCTAAATTTATTTTTATGTCTACCATAGTTGGTTTAGTGTTGCTATAAAGGAATATCTGAGGCTGGGTAGTTTATAAAGATAAGAGGTTTATTGGGTTCACAATTCTGCAGAATGTACAAGATGCATGGCACCAGCATTTGCTTCTGATGAGGGTGTTGGGCTATTTCCACTCATGGTAGAAGGTACAGAGGAGCCAATGTGTGCAGAGATCACATGATGAGATAGGAAGCAAGAGAGAGGGGAGGGAGGTTCCAGGCTCTTTTTAACAACCAGCCGTAGTTAAAATTAATAGTGTGAGTACACCCTCATTCTCATGAGGACAGTACCAAGCCATTCATGAAAGTTCCAACCTCATGACCAACACATCTCCCATGAGGCATCCACCTCCAACACTGGGGAAAAAAATTCAATGTGAGGTTTTTGGAGGACAAACATCCAACTATAGTAATGCCTTTCTCATTAAGTGTTTTTTTAAAATTTTCCTTCAATTTAATTTTTTTAACATTGGTGAATGTTAATAACAAATCATTTTAAACTATGTAAATTATTTTTGAAGTTTAATTTCTTTGAGCTCTTGGTGTTGGTTAAATTAAAATGTAGCTTAGAAAATGGTTTGACACGTATTTTCAACAACTAAAGAGCTTGCAGTTTTCCTCCAATTTAGAATGGGCAAAACAGATTTTGCAAGGAAATATGCTAGTCTAAATCTTATCATCAGTAATAAGAAACATTAAAATTATGCATCACTTTTGAAAAACTACAATTTTGACGGAGAAAGCTAAAGAAAAATGATGACATTAATAAATGGACTTCATGTTCAGTGATAATATCAAATTAATCAAAATTAAAACCAATTTGAATGTAATTAAGCATAAAATGGTCACAAGATTTCAAGTCAATATCATTGTTCTCCCCTTCTGATAATACAAGCTATAACTTAATATCTCTAAATTTAGATCACTTTTACTTCTAATTAGTCTCATATTACTGTTAACAGTATTTTCCACACTGTGAAGTTTTTTGAAACTCTTAGAGAAAATAAGAACTGTATCTAGTGAGGAAAAAATTAATGTAATTATGGAATCTCTATTAATTCAAAACTAAGCTTTGAATTCCATTTGAGGTTTATATTTTCCCAAATTAACTTTCCAGAAATATATTTTAGAATAGGCCTTAAAACAGTTGATTCTCAGCCAGGCGCAGTGGCTCACGCCTATAATCCCAGCACTTTGGGAGGCTGAAGCAGGCAGATTACCTGAGGTTAGGAGTTCAAGACCACCCTGGTCAACATGGTGAAACCCCGTCTCTACTAAAACTACAAAAATTAACCAGGTGTGGTGGGTGCCTATAATCCCAGCTACTTGGGAGGCTGAGGCAGGAGAATTACTTGAACCCGGGAGACCAAGGTTGCAGTGAGCTAAGATGGCATCACTACACTCCAGCCTGGGTGACCAAACAAGACTCCATCTAAAGAAAAAAAAAATTGATCCTCATATTTCAAAATAAGAAAGCAACAGTGACAAATCTACTGTACTTTTCTTGGAGAAGCAAAATAATTAATAAAATTATACTTTCTTTGTCTATATAATAAAATGATACACGAAATTATCCAAAACATAATGGATAACCCACCATATTAAATCTTAATTTCAATAAGTAGAATTCTAATATAGTTTATTTTAAAATATAATTTTTCTTCCTTTTTAGTGATATATTAATCTAACTTTCAGAAATCAAAATGAATCTTGATTTTGAGTTCTGTTAAAGTTGGGAAAGTGGGGAATTCAGTGTGGGTTGAACTTACTAATTCATTTCCAAAGAATAGAGTATAATCAAAGAAAAAGTAGTCACTTTACAGTGGGGATACCTGGCAGACACCTTAACCTTAATTAAGTGATCAAGATTAACACCACCAGTGATGTCATCTTCATATCATATGCCCCTAAATATCATGTGATAAGGGCATCTTATCACAGTGATATTCTCACACACACACAAAAAACCACAACCCAGTCTAACCATGAGAAATACACCAGACAAAACAAATAGAGGAGAATTCTACAAAACACCTGACAAGTACCCCTCCAAACTTTCAAGGCCATGAAAAACAAGGAAAGATTGGGAAATTGTTACTGGCCAGGAAAAACTGAACGATAATTAAACATAATATGGTATACTGAATTAGATCCTACAGCAGAAAAATAGCATTAATATAAAAACTGGTGAAGTATAAATTAAGTCAAGTTTAATTAATGAGAATGGTTTAATATTGCTTTTCAAGTTTTAATAAATATGGTAAATGAAGGATGTTAACATTAGGGAAGACTGCATAAGAAATATGTAGACAACCTGTGTGTTAACTTTGTAGTTCTTTTCTGTAAATCTAAAATTATTTCAAAATAAAATGGTTATTAAAGGAAGGATGTAAAGAGAGAGGGGTATAAACAGAGACACTTCAAAAAGAAATTACTCATGATCCAACAATGCCACTTCTGGGTATTTACCCCCAGAGATTTGAAATCAGTTTACTGAAGGGATGTCTGCACTCCCATGTCATTGCAGCCCTATTTACAATAGCCAAATTATGGAATCAAACTAAGGGCCCAGCAACAGGTAAACGGATAAAGAAAATGTGGAATATGTAAACAATGGAATACCATCCAGACTTTGAAAAGAAAGAAACTGTCATTTGTGACGACATGGATGGAACTGGAAAAACATTAGGGTAAGCAAAATAAGCCAGGCACATAAAGACAAATACCACATATTCTTACTTGTATGTGGAATCTAAAACAATCAAACTCCTAAAAGCAGAGAGTAGAATGGTGGTGGTTACAAAGGTTGAGGGGTAGGGAAAAAGGGGAGATGATGATGGAAGGGTACAAAATTTCGGACAGGAGGGATTTTTTGTTTTTTAGTTTCATTGCACAGAGCGGTGAAAATAGTTAATAATAGAGTACTATAAATTCCACAATTGCTAAGAGTAAATTTTACATGTTCTCACTACAAAAAATCTTAACTCTTTGAGGTGATGGGTACAGTAACTAACTTGATATAACTATTCCACATTGTATTCATAAATCATAACATCATTTTGTACACCATATATTTCTATAATTATAAATTGTCAATTTACAATTTTTAAAAAATCGTTATGTGTTTAGCCAATTGGAATAGACATAGGCAATTAAATATTATATGTGAAAAATGATCCTCAAATAAAATTATATAAGTAAAGCTAAAAATGGAGATAATTTTCTTTTAATTCTCCTTAGTACCCAGCAGGGGAGCTTTGTACAAGTCCTAGCTACTATCAATAAGCTCCTGATTTTGTGAAATTTGGACAAGATCCGTCTTTGGACACAGAGGAGCTTTATCAGTACTTCTCAATCCATTAACTAACAAACTTTAAACTGTCTCTTCAGGCTCTCTTTCTAGTGGCTGAGGCTCCCAGCGTTTCAGTGATTGTTTCTGTCACTTCTATGGGACTAGCCAGCAAATGGCCAGTCTGCCCATCTCTTATCCCTCCTACCATCCAGAGGTCTTTTCCAGATTTCAGGGCTTCTCAATTTCTGGGGGTATAATCAGATGTTCTGCACCCTTGTCGCCTGCTGGAGCTTCAGATTGCAGTCTTCCCTACCTGGTGTCCCAGTGAGAGGTGACAGCGTGCTGGCAGTCCTCACAGCCCTCGCTCGCTCTCGGGGCCTCCTCTGCCTGGGCTCCCACTTTGGCGGCACTTGAGGAGCCCTTCAGCCCACGGCTGCACTGTGGGAGCCCCTTTCTGGGCTGGCCAAGGCCGGAGCCCGCTCCCCCAGCTTGCAGGGAGGTGTGGAGGGAGAGGCGCGAGCAGGAACCCGGGCTGCGCGCGGCGCTTGCGGGCCAGCTGGAGTTCCGGTGGGCGTGGGCTTGGCAGGCCCTGCACTGGGAGCAGCCGGCGGGCCCTGCCGACCCCGGGCAATGACGGGCTTAGCACCCAGGCCAGCGGCTGCGGAGGGTGTAGTGGGTCCCCCAGCAGTGCCAGCCCACCAGCGCTGCGCTCGATTTCTCACCGGGCCTTAACTGCCTTCCCCTGGGGCAGGGCTCAGGACCTGCAGCCCGCCATGCTTGCGCCTCCCACCCCCTCCGTGGGCTCCTGTGCGGCCGGCCCGGAGCCTCCCCGATGAGCGCCGCCCCCTGCTCCATGGCACCCAGTCCCATCGACCACCCAAGGGCTGAGGAGCGCGGGCACACGGCAGGGGACTGGCAGACAGCTCCACCTGCAGCCCCAGTGCGGGATCCACCGGGTGAAGCCAACTGGGCTCCTGAGTCTGGTGGGGAGGTGGAGAACCTTTATGTCTAGCCCAGGGATTGTAAATACACCACTGGCACTCTGTATCTAGCTCGAGGTTTGTAAACACACCAATCAGCACCCTGTATCTAGCTCAGGGTTTGTGAATGCACCAATTGACACTCTGTATCTAGCTAATCTGGTGGGGAAGGGGAGAACCTTTGTGTCTAGCTCAGGGATTGTAAACGCACCAATCAGCGCCCTGTCAAAACAGACCACTGGGCTCTACCAATCAGCAGGATGTGGGTGGGGCCAGATAAGAGAATAAAGGCAGGCTGCCCGAGCCAGCAGTGGCAACCAGCTCCCGTCCCCTTCCACACTGTGGAAGCTTTGTTCTTTCACTCTTTGCAATAAATCTTGCTGCTACTCACTCTTTGGGTCCACACTGCCTTTATGAGTTGTAACACTCACTGTGAAGGTCTGCAGCTTCACTCCTGAAGCCAGTGAGATCACGAGCCCACCGGGAGGAACTAACAACTCCAGATGCGCCACCTTAAGAGCTGTAACACTCACCGTGAAGGTCTGTAGTTTCACTCCTGAGCCAACGAGACCACGAACCCACCAGAAGGAAGAAACTCCGAACAAATCTGAACATCAGAAGGAGCAAACTCCGGACACGCTGCCTTTAAGAACTGTAACACTCACGGCGAGCGTCCGCGGCTTCATTCTTGAAGTCAGTGAGACCAAGAACCCACCAATTCCAGACACACCAGGACATGGCTTGATGTGCATCTGATGTTCAGATTTCACACTGTATGTCTGTGATCTTTCTGACTGTCTGGTCTGATCAGGACACTGTTTAACTTGTTACTTTTAAGTTAATTCTTAGGATTGCTGATTTCATTCCTGGGCCTGCCATAATACTCATGCTATTTTCGTTCTGCAATAGTAATCTAGCATCCTAGCTCAGTTAGGTTTCCATTACTTCCAACCTACTCAAGAAGAAATTTATGTTAATTCCTTTTTGTGATCAAATGATGTCACCTTACATACAGTAGATAGCCAACACATATTTATTGAATAAATTAGTGGAGATTTCAGAAATAGATTTCTTACAGGTAAACATATTTTGATCAGAGTTCTTTGTTGCAAATGATAGAATGCACTGTAGTTAATTTAAGCAAGAAAAGAATTTAGGAAAGAATATTAGATAGCTCAAGAAATTTTGGTATAAGTGGAAAAAGAGTATTAAGGTTAAATTTCAAGGAAAATGCCTAAAACTGTACCACAGAACTGGGCTGATGAGATAAACGTTGTTGCTACTACTGTTGCTGCTGCCATTGCTACCACCAAATACTAAATATGAATTGAATTTTATGGCAACTGTATCTACTGCCAGCACCTTCATGAAACCTGTCTTTCAACCAATGCCACCCTCAAAGCCAGGTATTTCCACCAATATCTGCAACAGCAAAATAAAAGCTCCTCTTCACAGCCTTACCCCTAGAATGAAATCTTATATATATGTGCCTCATCATCAGAGCCATGGTCACACTTTTAGCTATGAGTAGGACTGATATTTGAGAGTAAAATTTGCATTCAGACATCTATGTGGAAGAGTTGGGATGCATAATGTAGTGTTTAAGCAAATAAAGGCAAATGATGATAGATATCCATTACCTTCTAGACAGCCCTATATCATCACATAAGTGTTTTAGATGCAACAAGAATAGCAATAAGATATCCCATGTAACATAGTGCAGTTATTCTTCAAGCATTAAGAATCTTATTTTCAAGGAGTGGAAAGTCCAAAGTATAAATATTACTGAATCTAGTTCTAAATCCAGAATCTTTAAGTAATGTTCATTTTTTTCTCCTAGTTCCCTCATATTAGTGTCTTCACATGCTAACCTATGAACAAAATCATAATTTAACCACCATGACATGTTGTATAAAATAGAAAGGGAACAGTAGAAAAGACAAAAAAAATATATGTAATTAGTTACCAGGCTATAGCTGGTATTGATGATCTGTTTGTGGAATATTGTTTCCACTATTGTCCTTTGCCATCTATCAGTACTTTGGCTATTCAAAGGTCTTCAAAAGATGGGGATAACCCAAGTCATTTTAAATAAGAAGTCTGAGTCTTTGAAAGTCCTGCCAGTATTAGGTTTTTGTATATCTAATACACTGAAAACAACATTAGTAGCAACTCATTGTTCCACACTCCTTCCTTCCTCCACTCTGTAGCAACAACCTTATGTCTTTATGACACTCAGGATACATCTCCCTGGCCAACATGATTGCTTCTTTTGTTGCCCATTTGCTCAGAGATATGAGAGTTCAAAATGGAAAGGTGGCAGGCACACTGGATTATGTGGTGCCATATTTATGTCTCCTTTTGAAATGTTCCTCTTTGCTATCAAAATGTTTTAACCAACCAAACCCTAAGTTTTGGAGATACAAAATGAACTATTAGGTGCAAAGGTAAGACGTACCAACTCCATTTATGCCCCTTGGTTTCCAGATCCATATGTTCAGTCTAAAGAGACACAGTTCTATTTATGGAAGATTTCAGAACATTCTTAGTTATCTCTCAATTGCTCAGTCACTACAGGTTATTCCATAAAGCACACTACTTCTGGGAGATGGAATACTTCCTAATACTAGGGAATTTTTTGAATGTTGGCTCATTATTTCTTTTGCTATAAAATGGGTTCCTTGGTCAGAAATAGTATTATGTTTGAAATCACAATATGTAAGACTTTCAATAAGATCATAAAAGTTGTGCTCGAAGCATAACGCATGAGGAAGGCCAGGGTATATAACAAAAGTCTATCCCGGTGAAGACAAATCACTGCACATCCTGTGATGAAAGAGGTTTAATGTAATCAATTTCCAAAGACAACCTAGCGTTTTTGGGAAATAAAATAGCAGGGGCTGATCTTGTTACTGATTCTAACAAGCTGGGCTAGCATTTGTAGTAGGAATCAGAGCAGCTGCAGTTAGGGGAATTCCATGTTGTTGAGTCCATACGTGATGTTCGTATCTGTTATTCTGACCACTTCATTTGTGAGCCCATTAAACAAGTACTGGATTAGGTGAGAAAAATTGACATTCATGGGGTAATATTGTCTAAATTATTATTTAAAAACTTCTCCATAGAGGGGTCTTCTGGTGAGTTTTTGCCAGAACACAAATGTTCCCATACTTTGGACTCATTCTAAGAGACCCATCCACATTTATCTTCTCCAGACCAATTTGTTACCAGTCCTCCTGTCTCCAAATCCCTTACTATTTAAACTAGTAATCACTATCTATGAATTGGTATAAATTGGTAGTTTTTTTCA
This sequence comes from Homo sapiens, assembly GCF_000001405.40. Classification (NCBI taxonomy): domain Eukaryota; kingdom Metazoa; phylum Chordata; class Mammalia; order Primates; family Hominidae; genus Homo; species Homo sapiens. The sequence goes on along the minus strand of NC_000013.11, from coordinate 80,487,161 downwards.
CTAAGAGACTTTCCCTTTCCCTCTAATGCTACCCCTTAGTTGGGTTTATAGTAAAGCAGTTGTCTTTCATCTGATAGTAGAAACTTATCTATTATCTTTAAAATAGATTCAAATTTTCCCCCCTTTAGGTCATCTGTTTATAGGCACTTGATCTTAAGGCCATTCTATAGGGTCAGATGTACAATCATAAGAGCACGTGTATTGACATCAGTTACCTGCTCATGCATCTTTCTTGTGCCTTCAGAACCTGATAAATCTCGATTTTATATTACCATTTCAATTTGCTGATGAAAGACTGCTGAATCTACTTGCCTTTATGCTTAGAAGATAACAACAGCACATTGTAGGAGCTCAGGCTGCAGTCACCTGCTCATAGTCTCTACCCCAAACCAGTAACAAGCTTAGATCAGTTGAGAAGACATGACTTTGCAATAAAACCTTAGTGGCCTCTACCGTAGCTCTCCTATCTGGGCTTCCACATGTTCCGTACAACACACCAATCTGCCAAAGATATCACAAGCTCCATTGGATCTGTTGATTCACAGGGACCAAAGGAAGAACTGCTTGTACTCCAGCTGGAATGCTTTCCTAGCTCTAGTCTCACAATTTGTAAACAGTTGTGTAAGCAGTTTACTTAGTAAACATGTCAGAGCCACATGTCCACATGTGGTATATATTAATCCAAGTAAGTTCACGAACCATTGTGTTTCTTCATAATTATTAGAGGATAAAAAGGACTAATTAGTAGGCTATTATTTTGGAGGAAATATCTCAACAAGCCCAGGACCACTGGACTCTCAGAAATGTTATGAAAATAGATCTTTGAATTTTATGTGATATATCTTACATTACCTCTTACATGTAGATGTTACCAACATATTTATTTTACTATTACCGCTACATTCAGCTTACATGGTCTTAGCAACACAATTGATATATTAATAATATACAGGCATTATTTCCTAAAGGATAAGATGATAAAAATAGACCAGCATGATATCCTAAATGATTATGAGATGCTCGAAATCTCTAAACACTAAATTATGGCATAGAGCTAGAGGGCTAACAAAGATAAAGTTAAAGGCTTACATTTATCATTTATTCTACTAAGTGATAACAAATAGTAATCTCTACTTATTGGAATAGAGACCAAAAAGTACTACACTGACAGCTACATAGTAAACCAACTTCCCGATATGTGTTGATTTGCTCACTTAAAGAAAACCATATGAAACAGTAGCTGAAATGGAGTCTGATATGCTTATAATTACTACAATTCATTATATTTCATAAGACCTACCTATCTGCCTTCTGCACAAACCAAACAAGTAAGTTGAGTAAGTTGAATGGGGAGATCCAAGAAACTATCACCATTCTAGGTTCTTGATGGTGGTTCCAACTTCTGAAAGAGTCCCAGAAATGTGGCATCACTTTTGATGTATCATTTTATGAAGGAGCATGGTCTGCACATTGCTCTTCCCACTATAGTAGTCTTAACAGCATGTGTCAGGGAAAGATTGGGAAATCTACCACTTTCTAAATATATTTAATCAAATTGTCCACACAGGAATGATTGTGGTATGGAAAATAATCACAGTATGGGATTAGTGACTTCTTGGACTCAATATGAAAGGGTCTTTCAATAGAATTTCATTTATTCTCTGACATCCACCCAACCAGTGAACCGCAGTGACCTTTTGCTTCCTAGGGATTGATCTTGGGCTCAATCTATGTGTAACAACCCTCGAAAGGCCTGGATATTTCACATTCTTCAAATCCTTTTGTGGAAGACTACAAAATAAATGTGTGTGATATTGATACAGGATGTTTTTTCAAGGGTACCCCTCTCCTTATTTATTTAGAGAGTTTTGGCTCTGTGAGATGGCTCAAGGCTGAAAATCATACTACTATTCAGCACACCTAGAGTTGTATATGATTTTATAGATATTGGAGGGATTTTGGTGGCCTCACCACCTCTTTTGATCCAAGGACTCTACATTCACTTAGTTATCATTAAAGATCACTGTGGACCTGACTAGCTAACAGAGTAACTATATTGACCCTGCCCCTGGCATCTAAGAAATGCTGTTTGGTCTCTACCTCTACAGAATCTCAACATTCCCACTGAAATCAGGAAGCCTAATCCAATGATAATGTCAGGCATGCACATCCCAGCTGCATCCCAAGAGAATGTCTTCTACAGTACTTTTCAAATATTCTTGTTCTTTTCTCATCATTTTATATCTAATAGCTGAATGAAGGTAATGTCTTCTGCCCTTCTTGAGACAAATGAACAGTTACATATAAGAAATTATTCCAACATTCTTACCTCTCAATAATTTTAGAATATTTCTTCTACATTATACCAACTAATTTCTGTCATCTTGGCTTCAGTTATCATAGATTAGCAATAAATCCATTTCCTAAAGGTAAATTATTCCTAATGTAAAGTTCTTGATGCAGCAGAACTATTAATTGCTGTGAGGATAAAATACAAAACTCATCAAACATGTAAATATCAACAAGGTTATTACATGCATGAGCCCATACCCACAAACTTACTGGAAAGTATGCTCTACCATAATATATGCTGGTATAGAAAGAGAGGATTGACATGGGAAAATGGTAAAGAAAATGTTTAGGATGATCATGGTGTGGAGATCAGAGAAGAATAGTTGTGTACCACGCAGGGGCCAATTTGCCTAGATTCAAGCAGGTCAGAAAGCTCTGAGAGATTTCTTCTATAATATGATGTTAACATGTCACTTAAACATTTGTTGGAGATTTGGGGCTTCAACTAGCAACAAGTATACATAAAATACATAAAAATAAACCCCCAAAAGTAAACAAGATATTCGATAACTCCAGAGAAAATAATAACTCACTCTTGGAAGGAACAGCAATTACAGTATATAGGAAATCTTATCACCTGTAGTTAGTGTTTACATGGTCATAATGTGAATCCTAAATATTGATTTAACTAAAATTATGATATGACTATAATAAGAGAAAGGCAGCCTGGGAAGAGAGAGAGAGCATTAGGGTGTGTGTATGTGTTGAAAATAATGAGGCACTATTAAGGCAAGTTTCATTCTCATCTTCCATATCAACATATAATACCTACAACCAAAAGAGCAACAAGTTGCAAAATAAGATATATTTAAGGCATCTGGAAATAGACACAAAAAGAAATAGCTAAAAGAGTTGAAAGTGTTTACCCACAGTAGGAGAACAGGCAGAGGTGGTGAATGACTAGTGTATGTAACAAGCAAACCTTGTATAATAATGTGGATATTTCAATTATGGGCATGAATAAACTTGATACAAATAAATTATTTTGCTTAAGGGAATATTATCACAAATAGGCATAACATAGGTATCTGAAATTTGGGTGCCAGGTAAATTTTATCTCATCTAATTTTTACAAAAACTCTATGAGATAAGACATTATTTCTATATTACAGACAAGAAAACTGGCATTCAGAAAGATTAAGTAACTTGTTCAATGGCTCTCATTTAGTCAGTAGTGAATCCACGAATCAAACTTGGAACCACCTAGCTCCAAAGTCTTTGTTCTTTCTACTCTAAATGTACTGCTCTCAGTAAAATTTCTTTATAGGATGACTAAAGAAGTCTTGTATTAGGCCTGTAATTAATGGATTTTAAATATATTAAAAGGGAAAAAAGTATAGCCCTCACAGAGGGAACAATGGCAAGTGTTCAGAGAAAGACTAAAGACAACTGGTCTGATCATAACAAGACCATGTTATGTAACAGGGAAGACGGATGTTGGTTAGCTTTAATGGAGACATGGCCAAAGGATTTTTCTCATTAATATCAGGGTGTAGAGGGAAACAAAGAACACTTTGGCCATCATGCTACTTCCTTTATAAAATTAGATTTTTCTGACAGAGCAACAAACACACATCCATCTGGAAAATTCCTGTGTCATAAGAACAGATGTTTAAATGACCCACAACAAGAAGAAAGGCAAAAACAGAGTAAGATCTCTTGCTAAAGCAAATTATTATAACAAGAGCATCCATTTCTGCTTGTAGCCAGGGAGCTATTTGCTTAACTGAGATACAGCGATGAACATAGGCCTCCTGTGCCATACCCAGCCCTCTTTCATGACTTAGATCCATCTTTAAAAACAAAAACACAAATAAAAGCAAACACTTGTATCTTCTTCTATGGAAGTTCTAATCTAACAGTAATCTAAATTATTCAGAGAAGCAATTGAATTTTGATCAAAACATTCTTATCAGCTTTATCTTGAGGTTTATAGAATAACAAAACTATCTGAGTTCCTTCTAACATACATGGTCTAAAGAACTCTTTAAAATTGCCCTTTCTTGAATCTCTTTGACCTTCTTTGGACTCTGTGACATCATCTTAATGAAAAGAAATGTTACATTAATGTGGGCTTGGGCTATATAATTTTGGACAATATTTTCTGTGGATATATAATAATTATGAAAACAATGCTCATATTTGGTCATATATTAATAATTATAAACTAAAAGATTCAGCTGTACTTTAACACAGAAGTGTCAAAGGAAATTGCATGGGTGGGAAACAGCTGAAGATGTCCCAACAATTATTCTCAGTACCATTATAATAAAAATCTAATGACTTGAATAGTTAGGTTAATAACACACTAAGAAACAATGTTTCAAAAGGAGTTAATTGGAAATTATATTATACCTCCATGCAATACATGGTAATCTAGCAAAGACTCTGCCTTGTGGTTTGCGATTCTGATTTGGCATGCTGAATGAGAATATATCCGACAAAGATTTTGCCTATGGCCAAATTTTAAAGAAGATAATTATGATTCCAAGTATTTGAGCAAAGGAGAGGTGAAACTGTTTACACACTAGGCATAATAGGTGAGCTGTTACCTGGATTTGAACTAGAAATCCCCCAATACAAAAGAAAATGATTTATGCTAGCTAAAAAAAAATCACACATCTGCCTCTACCTAAGTATACGAAGAATCATCATCAGAGTCAAATAAGTACATGATAGAAACATATGTGTAAATTATGTTTCTAACAAAGTCTGCTTAGGTATGAAATTCTTCTTCTGTCATTCTGGTGATTCTAACAATTGCTCAAATGTGCTGTGGAGAACTAGATGCTGAATGTCAGGGTCACTCAAGGCATCAGCAGAAGAAGTGAAAAATAAATATACCCTAAGAGACCTTTGCAGCCCAATAGCAGAACTGTGTCAAGAACTCAGATCTTCCTTTTCCCTATCTCAGGTATCAATACATGTAATTAAAAGATGGTGGGTGGAGCACATATTCATGTCTCCAGATTGACAAAATAGTCTCTGACTCATATACAAGTTCAAAGCTCAATTTTTAAGTTTCCACACCCATACATACATAACTCATTGGATTCTTCTGAGATTATATTAGTCAGGCTCTTTGAGATGACACTAAACAAAGACACAGCAAGTTTTCCCTAAGTGATGGGAGTTTTTCTAAGAAAACACCCAGAAGTAGGTAAACAACAACCAAAAAAAAAAAAAAAAAAAAAAAACAGACACACACACAGAAAAAAACACCTCTCTCTGTAGCAGTCAGATGGATTTCTGCTTCTTCACGTCTCTTCAAGTTGCTAAGCAATATACTATCTGATTAATATATTTCAAAATTCTTTGAAAGAAAATACTCAATTAGGCAGAACTCATTAGAGAAACTTCCTAAAAGGCAGAGTTCTAGATCCAGGCCACCTCCAAGATCACCAAATTCCCAGGTGTCCAGCTAGCTGCTGCGGGCAGTAAATAAGAACCATTAGTGGCTACTTTGCTAAGAAGGGACTATGAAACACAGACACCTAGAGTGACATGGAGTTCAAAACAGTTTAAAGATGGGCTCTGTTTTCAGTTGGTCTGAATTAAATCCTGGATTGACTACATCCAAGCTTATACAGTTAATGAAAGCTATTTGATCTTCCTAAGCCTCTGTAAAAGTAGTATTATGTATCTCATATCTGGTTGCACAGATTAAATGATATAATCCATGCAGAGCATTTAGCAGAGAGATCAGGTATCTTTGCTTAGAAGAGCCATTAAATCATGTTTAACTACAAATCATTTGAATATCATTTGCATACCAATAAAAATCTCAAGGGCATACAAAACTAAACCCACACTTACCATACAATTCAGCCATTGAAGTCCTTACTGTTTACCCAAAGGAGTTGAAAACTTATGTCCATGTACACAAAAACTTGCACACAGATGTTTACAGCAGCTCAATTCATGTTTGCTAAAACTTGGGAGCAACAAAGATGTCCTTCAGCGGGTAAGTGGATAAACTGTGGTACATCCAGACAATGGAACATTATTCAGCACTAAAAAGAAATTAGCTATGAAGCCATAAGAAGACATGGAGAAAACTTAAACACATATTAATAAGTGAAAGAAGCCAGTCTGAAAAGGCTACCTACTGTATGATTCCAAATGTATGATAGTCTGGAAAAGGCTAGGCTATGCAGATGATAAAAAGATGATCAGTGGAGGGATGAATAGTTGGAGCACAGAAGATTTTTAGGGCAGTAAAACTATTCTCTATGATACTCTAATGGTAGAAACATGTCATTATACATTTGTCAAAATTCACAGGATGTACAGCACCTATAAGTGAGCCGTTAATGTAAACTATGGACTGTGGGTGATGATGATGTGTCAATGCATGTTCATCAATTGTACCAAGTGTACCACTCTGGTGGGGATGCTGATAATGGGGGAGGCTGTGCATGTGTGGGTGCAGAGAGGATATGGGATATCTCTGTACCTTTTGCTCAATTTTGCTGTGAACCTAAAACTTCTCTAACACATAAAGTCTACTATAAAAAGCTCAAAGGCCACCAGTAGCCCTTACCCACATAATAGCTGAGTAAACACTGAACTTGAGGGCCTGGAAACCCATGTGAATGCTTTTGTAAAGTAAAAATATTGTCTGCTTGAGGGCGATTTTATTTTTTGGTTCTAAATAAAATTTCTGTATATCGGATTTACTGAAAGTGGGGGTATATTGTAGTAAGTCTAGAGAGTTTATAGGTATGCAAACAAATTCGCTAGCATTTTTTAAAAGTAACATAACACAAATATAGCTAAGGTATATTTATACCTTGTTCTCAACTTACGAAGCCACATCTTCAAGTACCATTACTGTTCAAAGACTCTTTATAATTATTTTTTTTTAATTGAGACAGAGTTTCCCTCTGTCACCCAGGCTAGAGTGCAATGACACAATCTTGGCTCACTGCAACCTCCGCCTCCTGATTTCAAGTGATTCTCCTGCCTCAGCCTCCTGAGTAGCTGGGATAGGTGTGAGACACTATGCCCAACTAATTTTTGTATTTTTAGTAGATATGGGGTTTCACCATCTTGGCCAGGCTGGTCTCGAACTCCTGACCTCAGGTGATCCCCCAACCTCGGCCTCCCAAAGTGCTGGGATTACAGGTGTGAGCCTCGGCGCCCAGCACAAAGACTCTATTCTTTCACAGAACAGAAATAAACAATGAAAGGCCTTTTATAATGAGCCCAGGCATCCACGGGAAAGGCTGTTCTATCTCTGCCCTCACACAGATTGAGAGGTCTATGCAACAAAATGAACAAACTGGGGCTTTGGTGACAGGCCCGGGCATTAATTCCTACCTATTAACTATGTGACCTTAGAGAAATTACTCTCTTCTCAGAATCTCAGTTTCCTCAGACCAGTTGAATCAGATCCTCTGAGATGGGGTACGGGCATCATATTTTTAAACTCCCAGGTGATTCTGACACGAAGTCAAGTTTGAGAGCCCACGCCCTAAAGCTAGTGGTTTCCAAACTGTAGCATGCACCACAATCACCTGGAGGGTGTATAAACCCCTGGCTGCCGGGCCCCACCTCCAGAGTTTCTGATTTTGCAGGTCTGGGGTGGAGCAGGTTTGCATTCCTAACTAGCTTTAGGTGATGCTGGTGCTGCTAGTCTAGGAACTGCACTTTGAGAACCATTGCTAAAAATACACAAATTACTTGTTGTTCCCCTTGCGTGGTATCTATGAATCCTCGTCAACGTTCTGCTCCAAGTTGTTCAAAATCCCTTCTCTCTTAATCGTTCTTTTTCACTCTCAATTCCCACCAATCCTTGGCAGTACGGATGTTCCTCTATGCCCATTAGATACTAATTAGAATAATTTCTACTACAGCACTAAAATCAGGATGTTACATGATATTTACTTATAACCCTGTTGTTCAACCAAGCTTCCAAGTTCCCCTCAGGCAAAAGTCCTGCTCTTTTTATCCCTGACCTTGAGCAAAATGCCTGGCACATAATGGGAGGATAATAAATGGTTGTGTTAAATGTAAATAACTCATTAGCCTATATATATATGTATATATACACGTATATATACGTGTATATACGTGTATATATACACATATATGTGTATATATGTATATATACGTGTATATATGCATACATACATATATATGTATGCATATATATGTGTATATATGTATATATACATATATATGTATGCATATATACGTGTATATATGTATATATACATATATATGTATGCATATATACGTGTATATATGTATATATACATACATATGTATGTGTATATATATGTGTATATATACACACACACACATATGTGTATATATATATATATATATATATACGACACCTAGTTTCAGAGCCATTTCCCTGTGAAAGAGCATCTTGAATTAATAATGGTGCAAACCTCATCCTCATGTATAAGGACCTTTCAGTTCTTTGAAGAAACACATGCAGTGTTTTGCTTTGTAAGAAGAGACATGTATTTTTATAGCCTTATTCTTGTTAATGTCTTTTCACACCTCTGGACCTCAATCTGAACATGTTTGTTCCTGTCAGCCTCCACATACTAAACATGATAACCACAAACACCTAACACTCATTGCACTATGACTAAAAATACCTAATTTTCCAAACAAGTGTTTCTCACTTTTTGCCCAAGATGAAAATAGAGAACAACAATGTGAAGGCTGGCTGTTTTTCGGATCTGCAGTCCAGGCTAGTAAACAGTATGAAAAGCACAATGAGAATGTTTGAATGAGTCCCTATGGGTGCCCTGATGTCTCTGGCCCAACGTCTGTGGAAAAAATGTCTGCTATATAAGGTGGGGGCCAAGAGCATGCTGCTATCCTTTAACCTCAGGGTCTGTTTATAACTTGTTATTCATTATACTGCTAATCTTTACCGGGAGGCCTAGATTTACCGGGAGGCTATCTTTCCATGATATGGTGTCATAAGTCCTGTTGCAGCTTGTTCTGCCCTTCCTTTCAGCAAACATTATTACCAGTGAGCTAAAGGAACAAAAGCATGCAAAAAAATAAAAGGGGGAGATGATGACACTATGTGTCAAAGATGAGTGCAAGCTCTGGAAAACAGTCTTTGATAAAACAGGGTCTTCGTCATAGAGCCCCAAAGGGCTATACATGGAGAACTGTTTTGTTTTGTTTGTTTGTTGTTGTTGGTTTTATGATAGTGGTGGTTGGGAAGAACAAGAGGTCAGAATTGGCTGGTGGAAAACTGTGGGATCTTTGACTCCAGAGTGTAAGGAACTCAGAAAAATGTCAGAAGGAGGGAAGTGCCTGAAATAAAGTGCTAGAAAAACAGGGAGGAAAAAAAAAAACCCAAAAACCTGTTAATATAATGGTCTGATCTTAAGAAAGAGAATGATTCAAGGAAAGAATGTGAGTTTTCCTACTTAATGCAACTGTTTGAAACTCTGCCTATTAAAATGTCTCCTAAAGAGCTTTACCTTCATAATTTTCTTAATACTTTTCCATCTTCTTAATGAATTGTATCTCTGAATCCCAAAGCATGTTTCCCTAATCTAAATGATGCCCAATGCCCCACCTGTAGTTTCTGTTACATGGCAAATAGCTTCTGCATGCTTACTGTGTTTAAAATTCTATAGTAAATAAGAAGCACGTGCATGTGCATGCACACACGTGCACACACACACACACACACACTGGATTCAGTCTCTCTCCTCACACAGCTTTTAGACTGCAAAAGACCTAATAATAAAATTTTGCTTTAAAGATAGATCATTTTTATCATAAAGACATTCAAAATGAAAGTAGACCACATAAGCTAAGCAACTCTCTATGACCTTTGGATATTGAGAGAATAGTGGAGATGCAGAACGACAGTCTCTGTGTGGTGAGTAAATACAGGTTTAGCATCTTAGATCTGAAAATCTGAAATCCAAAATGCTCCCAAATCTGAAGTTTTTTGAGCACTGATGTAACACTTAAAGAATATGCTCATACAACCTGTAATGCTTCAAAGAAGCATCCAGGATTCATCATTCTCAGTGAGAATCTAAATCAGTGGAGCTAGAAAGAACAAGAATTTAAATTATTACTTTAGAGTCATGTAAGGAGATAAATTTACAAGGAGTATTTCTATGCATGTTCTTCATTTTCGTAATTTGGATCAGGGTAAAAAAATTAGAGAAAGAATTGCTAAAAACTTTTTTAAAGAAGACATAATCCCTATGTCATTGCTTTGTAGAAAATAGAAATAATATTTCTGCTCTCACTTAAAACAATCACTCTATTTTTCTTAAGTCTGATTATCACAAAGTATGGTATCATCAACAGATTCAAATCTGTAACACCAAAATATGTTGTAAAAGCCATTTTCTGCTCATTAGAAATTATCTGCCCATGTAGCTCTTTGTAGAATTGTGCTCTTCTCTTAAACCATCTAATTTACCTTCCATTCACCTCTGAAAATGGGTTTTACACATTTCCGTTTTACTTTTAGGGAATACCTGCCTCACTTTGATTATCATGCCGCACCTTAAGTCTAGTAATTCTTTTAAAATTCAACCAAGACTTAGTATAGCGTGCCCTGTTACACTCTATGTTGAAGTATATCATACCATATATAGCAAGTAGTCAAGAGTGGGTTTATCAAAACAGAACAAAAAAAATTTCTCCTTGTTATTTTAGGGTATCTCAAAAATGTGCCTCAAAGCATTAACCCATGGCTTAATTAATGCATGATTTCCTCTTTAAAATTAGAAACAGGAATAAACAGTGCAGCTTAATAATTTTCATTTGCTCTTCTTTTCCAAGCATTCTAATTAAGGCCTGGTTCTGAGACCTGATTAAGCAGCTCCTACATCTGACTGCAGTTTGCAGTTATCCCCACAAGGCAGGATCTCAAGCTTATTTTGAGTGAATGGGAACAGTCTAGGAAGGAGCAAGATGACGGGATGTACTGTGAAAGGAGGAGTTACTCGGTTTGGATTTTGCTCTTGTATTTAGAATTTGCCATGTGCATTGCAGAGTGCAACAACTCCATTTAATAACAAATGTCAAAAACATCAGTCTCAGTCAAAAAACATTAGTTTATTGGAGCACTTTGTCAGGAGTATGTTGTTTTCGTTGCTTTTTTATTTGGCTTCTTTGAACCAAATGGTGTAAGAACAATATATGCTTTATTTTTCATTTTATATTAAGAAAATGTAAATGAGGTCTGTGGTTTCACTATCCAGTGTTCTTAATCTCTTGGATTCACTGTAATCATGAAATTCATTTGAGGTATATTTTTGATGGCTTTCATGAAAAAATGTGAAGAAAAAAACAGTAATTATCAAACATGAAAAATTTTAAAATTATATTGTAATTTGAAGATAACAGCCCTAAAGTACTTAAATATTCCAGAATATTTTTAAATATTGAAAAAGTTGCACTGTAATATAGACAGTATTCGTTAAATGTTTCTAATATTCAGAAAATAGATATCTAAGTTGTCCTTTGTAACACAGGAGTAAAAGTCAAAACTCCTGTTAGGCAGGGTAAAGTCAATGTTTTAGAAGCTATATAGATGTCCACCACCACCACCACCTTCATTTTAAAAAATATATTTTAGCTATGAAGGTGTCAGGCAAAGGGACTACCATAAGTTTAATTGAGTAGAGTGCAAACCTGAGAAATTGAGAGCTGGGCTTCATTCTTTCTCTATAATTTACCACTGCTCTTATATTCTCTGCATTAAACTTTGTGCCTCCTCCCTACCGATTTCATTTTCCTGGGGTCATGTTAACTCATCCCAAGAAGTCACTTAACTAATTCATCAAATAAATTAATTCAGAATGTTTCACAGTCTCTCCCTTACCATCCCTATTGCCAAAAGCCCACACCAGACCAATAATGCCTTTGCTTCAGTATTGTGCCCCCATGTGTTCTTAGTGCTTCCGCCTTCTCTCTCCACACCCACCTAAATGGTGGAATCACATTGCTCTTCTTTCTCAACACTTGGTTTACATTATTCCCCAGTTTAAAAACTTCAGCGACATCCAGATCACTGGGGACCTTTAAATTCTATATCTCTTGCTGCCTCTGAGCCTTTTTTTTTTTTTTTTGAGATAGAGTCTCACTCTGTTGCCCAGGCTGAAGTGTAATGGCACGATCTCAGCTCACTGCAACCTCCGCCTCCCGGGTTCAAGCAATTCTCCTGTGTCAGACTCCCGAGTAGAGATGGGGTTTCACTGCGTTGCCCAGGCTGGTCTCAAACTCCTGAGCTCAGGCAATCCACCCGCCTCGGCATCCCAAGGTGCTGGGATTACAGTCATGAACCCCCATGCCCGGCAAGCCTCCCTTCTAAAATGACCTTCTCCATTACTGTTTGCTTACACAAATCCTAGAGACACTTGGAATCACCAGTAGGTCTTGTCAAACACCAGTTTTAATTTCAGTGGGTTTGTGATGGAGCCTGAGATTCTGCTGTGATGTTGTTGCTGGTGGTACATGGACAAAACTTGGAGGAAAAAAGATTTAGATAACTCTTTTTGTCAGAGAAATACTGGTCTCTGACAAGGGCTCGTGTGCAGGGCCAGTAAAGAGAACTATATACAGATTTTATTGTATATAGATACCATAATATATCTATGTCTGATTGAATGAGGTTAATGAATCAGGTTAAAGACTAGGCAAATTTTAAATTATTTTCAGGAGTTCTACATTTATACAGTAGTGCATGGTTAATAACTTTGTACATATATACCATAGAATTGTCAATACGTAAATAAATAAATGGAACTCAAAAGGATAATTGAAGCTTCTGAAGCAGCTATCCTAAGTGTTTTTAAGTATATACAACTCAAATACTAGCCCAAGTTCCATGATGAAACTTTGTGTAAATACTGTAGTTCTGTCCTCCAGGGCTGTGATTCATGGGTTTATTTGTTTTTGCTCAGTCACTCACTCCTGCCTGCAGTGATCCATGAGCTGGATTCTCTCCATCTGTTCCACTACCTGGAGTCCAGTACCCTGTAGCAGATGTTAATTTGGGCCTGTCTTTAATCTCTGCACCATTTGGAGAGCTGAAATAATACCTTACAAAAAATTCCTGGTCTTTGTGGTGTTATAGGGTTTATATGCTTTTCTTTAAAGCATGCTTTTATTTTAAGAAGATCATAATTTCTACTTGGTTTCCCATGCAGAGTATTGATGGAGATTAATAATTCAACTGAACAATCTTTAAAGTGGGCACAATAACAACTCTTAATTACACTGTCTAGAAAATACAGGGAAAGTAAAAACAATCCAATGTGCCCCTTGTTTCAAATACAACATTATTAAATATATAGCTTCAGTGCTTTTATTGAGTTCATTTTCATGATAAAAGCTTAAACCTGCTCAACTCTGGGGGTCCAAAGAAGGCTTTTATCTTGTGGAAGATAAATTCAGCACTTCTGTAAGTCTTCCATACATGTAATTCAATTTTTATATAATAGAAAAGTCTGTCAATTTTATAAAACCTGATAAAATAAGCGTTGCCAAATAATGAGTGCTGTTTATTCCACGTGTAATATTTTATCTTTTTAATAAACTATAAGCTTATTATAAGCAGTGTCTATTAGTCTTGTAATAAGTCCTGAAACTCCAACTAACTGGAATTCCATTTTGCTTAGTCCAGGGTTGGACATGTCACTCGATCAAGCCAATAAAAGACCTTGCCTGAAATGGTTATATTACATTTGGAAGAAAAGTTCTGTTTCTAGTAGGTTTGCTAATTTAGGAGAATATGAGAAGTCCCTGCCAGGGGGGAAAGTATATAAATTCGAACAGATAGCAGAAAGAGAGAGGTTGGAAGGAGAGGAGAGGAAAACGCAAGGATGAGGAGAGAAGAAATTTGACAGTATTGAATTTTAGAACCAGCTGGTAAGGTCCTAATACCTGAAACTTTTCTTTAAATCATGTGACCTACTCCCAGCATCTTTTCCAAACTAAAAGATGAACTCTCTTATTTTGGTTAATCTAGTTTGAATAAAAAATATATGACTACTATACAACATCCATATAGAATGTGTTCAATCTACTGGAATTGGTGGCAGGAGTGCGGTTCTTGTTTGTTTCCTGAATTGCTGTTTTTTTGTCTGCTCGATTCCATTTGGGAATGCAACACTTGTATATTTCTGTAGCCATTCTCAATGCTCTTGTATCATAAGGTAACAAGTATTCAATTTTATGACTGCATTATCTTCTAGTTTGGAAGAATAAACTAGGAGTATCTTTAAAGCACACGACAAATTAAAAAAAAATTTTTTTTCTTTTCTTTTGAGACGGAGTCTCACTCTGTCACCCAGGCTGGAGTGTAGTGCCGCGATCTTGGCTCACTGCAAGCTCCACCTCCCAGGTTCAAGTGATTCTCCTGCCTCAGCCTCCCAAGTAGCTAGGACTACAGTCGCGTGCCACCACACCCAGCTAATTTTTGTATTTTTAGTAGAGACAGGGTTTCACCATGTTGGCCAGGATGGTCTCGATCTCCTGACCTCATGATCCACCTGCCTCCTTCTCTCAAAGTGCTGGGATTACAGGTGTGAGCCACTGCGCCCGGCCAAGAAATAATATTTTGTCTGATTTTTTTTCTGTCTATATTGGATCTGAAGCCAAGAGAAGAAAAGATTATCTTTCTTTTCCTCTCCCAGATACTCCAAATGCCAACAAGGTTTTGCCTGTATGGAACACACAATGGTTGCCAAGTCAATACATTTGTGTGCCAAAAAACTCTGAAGGTTAAAATCCTACCCAAAATTGTGTAAAGCTCAACAAATTTACCCTAATGACAATTTGAAGAACATACTTGTCAATTTTTCTGAGCCTTCTTATAAACTCAGAGTGAATGAGAATTCCCAAAACTGCTACTCCTGTGGTGGCTGCAAAATTTAATATTATTTCCTGTTTAATGAAAGTGACATACATGGAGTCTGGAACCAAAATTAGATTTTATGAATAAATAGGAAAGAAGGAATGGAGAGCAGTGGGATCCTAAATCCAAGAAATTAACTCCATCATTGAACCCTATTTAAGTACTGAAGCCCTTGTTAGGAAGAGGAAACCTATTGTAATAAGAGTTTTTCTTTTTTAAGTTGGAGAAAAGCAGAATAGTTGACCCTAAAAACATATCTCTAAAATATGAATCAATTTATTTCTATCTCTGCCTTCCCTAAGGTTAATTTCAACTCTCATCTTCCTGTGGCACCTCTCTAGCAGCTTCACAGAGTTGAGCCATCCTCAACAGAGGGAGCCTTTTCTTCCCATCCTAATCTCCATTCTTTCTGTGAGAGTAAATCATCATCTAATCAGTCATGGAAAGAGAAGAGTTGAAGTGGTGACATATTTCCAGAACAGACATCACAGCGTTGCGCCTCATGGGCAGAGTCCACCATCAATACTGCCCCAGTGATTACATCTCATACTCCAGACATTCTGAGTTCTCTCTTGGCTTCTCTTTGCCATATTCCCTTAAGCTACACAGCCACCTTCTCCGGTAGACCACAGTCTTGCTATTGGTGAAAGATTTCCAAAACCCTTTGGCTTTTCTCTGCCCAAAGAGACAATAAATCTGGTGCTAATGTTTCACAAAGGATCCTCTCTTTCATTATGCTACAAATGTATGCTTGAGTCGTAGTTGAGAGAAAACAGCATAATATAATGCTTAGGATGTGAACCATTTACCTCTGTCACTTAATAGCTGTGTGACCTTAGCTTTTGTAGGATTTAACCTTTACATTTCTCATATGTAAAATGGAGAAAGCAACAATACCTCCAATGTGTGGCTATGTTGAGAATTAAATTAAAAATGTAGAGTTCATACAATGTCTGACACATAGAAAATGCTATGTAAGTACATGCTGTTATTGTTTCCTGAATTCTCCTCTTTTGCTCTTTCCTCTACCTTGTATCCTCCTTTACTACTTTTACAGACACACAGGCACACACCTCTCTACCTCCATACACAAAACCACATACACATTCCCCCTTCAATTAAGTTAAATCCTTAGCTTGTCACTTTAATGGGAATTTACTGCTTAACAGCTTTACACCGCTTTGGGAATTTGTGCTTGTTATAAACAGATTAAAAATTAACATATTTAAGAACTTTGTCTTATCACAAATTTCAAACCAGGTTTAGAGGCAAATCTACAGGAGTTATTTTAAAGTTGGTCTGATCAATGTACTGTTAAAGCTACTTCTACTTTTTTTAGTAAAATGAAAGGAAGGATGGAAAGAAGGAAGGAAGGGAGGAAGGAAAGATGGATGGACGGACGGACAGAAGGAAGGAAGGAAAGAAGGAAGGAAGGAAGGAGAGAAAGAAAGCAGGCAGGCAGGCTCTAAGGAAAATCATAAAACTGCATCAAAATTCACTAGAAAACAATCCCATTTCATATTCTGCTAAACGCCATAGGAAATGACATTTGCTATAGTAAGAAAAACAGATGGTGGAGAGAGAGTGGAAAATACAACTCCTTGAACACTGAGAATGAAAATGCCACTGTGAACATTTTGGGTCTCTCTGACGTGTTCCTTTATCAAGTTGTAGCCTCCAAGACAACCACTTTCTTTATTATATGCATGCCTTCCAGCCTGAAATAGTTTTGTGGGGCTTCCAAAGTAAGAAGCGAGTGGTGTTTTGGATGTGTGTTTGTGTGAGGTTGCATGTGAGTTCATGAGTGGGGCCAGGACAGAGAACACTGAGGGTCATTCAAACCCATGAGACAGACAACTCTGACCCAGGATCCTTCGCCAGCAGCACAGTGATTCATCCTCTCAGGCACAAGTACATCAAGTCCTCTGTTTTCTCTTAGTTCACATTTGTCCTCTTCAAACCAATGAGTCATAAGTTGGAAATATGTATGAAATAAGCTAGCATAATATGTCACTGAATTATTTCTGGTGATTCAATATACACATCCTAGGACACCAGGCATCTGAAAGGCAAATTTTTAAATTCAAGAGATTTATACAAAGCAGATACAGTTGATTGTGTAAGAAAGAAGAAAATCAGGTGCAAGAAGAAACAGATCCTGGTAAAACGATTAACTTTCAGTAAGGGGGGTAAAATATTTCTTCCTGCTCTCAAAAGGATAATTTTCTTCAGAGGAAATTGCATAAATTCTTGGTCACTTGAATTAGCAGAGAACTATTCTTGCCAAAGTTTAGTGCTGGGAAACAAATGATATTTTGGCCTCTTGCAAAACGATTCTACCTCTCCACAGCAAAATGAGCTTCATTCCTTAATGCAAACAGAATTCATACCTTCCCATTCGTACCTTCAAACCTCAATTACCTGAGAAATCAGAGGATGATTTCCTCTTATGAAGAAGTTTTATCATGAGAAAATGGAAACCTGAAAACATAATGCCTGGCCTGATAATGACCAAGGCAGAACCTCTTCCCATACTCATTTGTTCAGCAATTACTTGCTGGGTGCCTCCCTTGTGTCAGGTCACAGGTATCCCAGGCACTGAGGAGGCAGCAGTGCACAGGCTGACACTGCCCATTTCCTTTTGGAGCAATGGAGCAAGACAGGCACTTAGCAAATATTAGGTTGTTGCAAAAGTGATTGCGGTTTTTGCCATTACTTTCAATGGCAAAAGCAGTGACTGCTTTCGCGCCAACCTAATAGCAATAGAAGTCATGCCCATGACAATAAGTGGTATAAAGAGCAGCAGACATGGCCACCTTGCTTGTTTGGGCTTAGAAGAGGCATGTATGATGAAGACCTGAAGATCTGAAATTCAGCTGAGACTCCAGAAATTGGAGAATGAGAAGGCATTGGCAAGAATATTTCAAAGTAAAGGAAAGGTTACGGCAAGGCCCTGAGGCTGGAAAGAGAATGGAGTTTCTGAGAAACTGACATAGGAATGTAACTGGAGCACAAAGAAAGAGAGACATGGGAGATGAGGCTGGGGAAGGCAGCGGTCAAACTGGGAAGATATTCTAAGCCATGCTGAGAGCGCTCGACTTTCTCAAAAGGGTAATTACAAATCACTGGAAGCTGAGAGAGAGAGACAGTTACATGTGCATTTTTAAAGATAACTAGCTTTTATAAAAAGAATTTGTGGAGGAGAAAGGAAAAAGAAAATGTCTGGGCAATATAGAGGTTCTCCAATATCTGGATCCAAGATAATGGCTATGGGGGAAAGGAAATGTAAAAAAGGCTGTGATAAACTGAGAAAGCCTTATCAATAAGACTTGTTTCATGCATGTATAAGATGGAGCTGGATGAAAGGAAAAAAATCAAATGGAAGTGAAAGGGGGTCTCTGTGAACCCACCTCAGTGAATTTTTTTTTAAATCTTCCTCTCAGTATCACACATATGCTTATAGCTTAACTAACGTAACTTTAACTAGTCTTCCAACTCTCAGTTCCCTCTTCCTCACTATTTTATACAATTAACTTCACAATGAAATCCATAGTTGAAAGACTCTCTGGTCAGGGTCACAGCAGAACAAGGGGAGGAATTGCTATTACTCAGAGAGGGTGGCCTGGGCCAATCGACAACTGATAGGATTGGTGTTATCTCCCTTTTGGTAAGCTGGGAGTACAGCCTCAGACTTATATGGAATTTTTTTGTATTTTTTTCTTTCTTAAAAACTATTTTTCTGTATTTAAGGGGCACAGGTGCAGGTTTCTTTTTTTATATATACTTTAAGTTTTAGGTACATGTGCACAGTGTGCAGGTTTGTTACATATGTATACATGTGCCATGTTGGTGTTCTGCACACATCAACTCGTCATTTACATTAGGTATTTCTCCTAATGCTATCCCTCCCCCCGTCTGCCACCCCCTGACATGCCCTGGTGTGTGATGTTCCCCACCCTCTGTCCATGTGTTCTCATTGTTCAACTCCCACCTATGAGTGAGAACATGTGGTGTTTGGTTTTTCTGTCCTTGTGATAGTTTGCTGAGAACGATGGTTTCCAGCTTCATCCATGTCCCTGCAAAGGTCATGACCTAATCCTTTTTTATGAATGCATAGTATCCCATGGTGTATATGCCACATTTTCTTAATCTAGTCTATCACTGATGGACATTTGGGTGGGTTCCAAGTCTTTGCTATTGTGAATAGTGCTGCAATAAACATATGTGTGCATGCGTCTTTATAGTAGCATGATTTATAATACTTTGAGTATATACCTGGTAATGGCATAGCTGGGTCAAATGGTATTTCTAGTTCTAGATCCTTGAGGAATTGCCACACTGTCTTCCACAATGGTTGAACTAATTTATACTCTCACCAACAGTGTGAAGTGTTCCTATTTCTCCACATTCTCTCCAGCACCTGTTGTTTCCTGGCTTTTTAATGATCGCCATTCTAACTGGTGTGAGATGGTATCTCATTGTGGTTTTGATTTGCATTTCTCTAATGACCAGTGATGATGAGCATTTTTCCATATGTCTGTTGGCTGCATAAATATCTTCTTTTGAGAAGTGTCTGTTCATATCCTTTGCCCACTTTTTGATGGGGTTATTTTTTTCTTGTAAATTTGTTTAAGTTCTTTGTAGATTATGGATATTAGCCCTTTGTCATATGAGTAGATTGCAAAAATTTTCTCCCATTCTGTAGGTTGCCTGTTCACTCTGATGGTAGTATCTTTTGCTGTGCAGAAGCTCTTTAGTTGAACTAGATCCCACTTGTCTACTTTGGCTTTTGTTGCCATTGCTTTTGGTGCGTTAGTCATGAAGTCTTTGCCCATGCCTATGTCCTGAATGGTATTGCCTAGGTTTTCTTATAAGGTTTTTATGGTTTTTAGGTCTTACATTTAAGTCTTTAATCCATCTTGAATTAATTTTTGTATGAGGTGTAAGGAAGGGATCCAGTTTTTGCTTTCTACATATGGCTAGCCAGTTTTCCCAGCATCATTTATTAAATAGGGAATCCTTTCCCCATGGTTTGTTTTTGTCAGGTTTGTCAAAGATCAGATGGTTGTAGACGTGTGGTGTTATTTCTGAGGGTTCTGTTCTTTTCCATTGGTCTATATCTCTGTTTTGGTACCAGTACCATGCTGTTTTGGTTACTGTAGCCTTGTAGTATAGTTTGGTGTCAGGTAGCGTGATGCCTCCAGCTTTGTCCTTTTTGCTTAGGATTCTGTTGGCTATGAGGGCTCTTTTTTGGTTCCGTATGAACTTTAAAGGAGTTTTTCCCAATTCTGTGAATAAAGTCAGTGGTAGCTTGATGGGGACAGCATTGAATCTATAAATTACCTTGGGCAGTATGGTCATTTTCATGATATTGATTCTTCCTATCCATGAGCATGGAATGTTCTTCCATTTGTTTGTGTCCTCTTTTATTTCCTTAGGCAGTGGTTTGTAGTTCTCCTTGAAGAGGACCTTCACATCCACAAGTACAGGTTTCTTACATACATATATTGTGTAGTGGTGAAGTCTGGGCATTCAGTGTACCCATCACTCAAATAGTGAACATTGTGCCGATTAGGTAGTTTTTCAATTTTCACCCCCCCTTCCCATGCTCTCACCGTTCATAGTCTCCAATGTCTATTATGAGATCATTTTACTATGACATCTGAAAAAATCGAAGTATACATGTAGAAAGAAATATGTTACGATTTTAGGCAGCCAAAGAGTGGTATCCTATCATAGACATTTGTCATTTTTGGGGGGTGCCTAGCATCTGATCTTCCTCCTTAAATTTAGAGACATTCACAACTTACAGATCTTGATGGGAGGTATATCCTACTGCAGAAGCAAAAGGTGGTATATACTCGCTATCCCAGACTTTCTTGCAGCTAGGGGACAGGCACATTTCCACAGCATCTCTCAGATGTACCCAGCCTGTATTATAAATAAAGAACTAATGACAAAAAGAAAAGATAGTTGAAAATGTGCTCTGCTGATAGTGGTGATGGCATAGTATCTGCTTTTCAGGGACACTAGGCTGAAATTCAGGAGCCAAATTCAGGAATTACCAGCAATAGTGCAGGCAAGACACACCTGAAGGCGTAGTTCTCGGCAGTGTACCAACTGCTATTTTCTCCAGACCAGTTACATGATGTGTTTTGCTGTTGTTGTTCTTGTTGTTGTGACTCTTGCTGCATTAAATCGAAACCTATTTATTCTGCCTTCCCAGTAATTCTGGGATTTGCAGTATCATTTCAATTAATTTATTTCTTCCATTTGTATGTGGCCTTTAAACTAAAACCCTTTACTCATATAGTAACCACTCTTTAGCAACAAAAGATAAACAAGTGTGAGAATTTTTAGAGTTTGTGTGTTAAAGTGTGTGTGGGCATGACCGTGACCTAGGCAGAGCTGGAAGACAGCCAGTGTATCACTGAAGACATAAAGTCCGTAGAACAGCAACAGAATCAACAGCAACTGTGAATTGTTCAGATTCTGTAGTTCTTTTTCTCTGTTTCAGAGAAAAACATTCCTCTTGTGCATTTCAGAGGTAGGTGAAGCAAGTTTTGCTCAAGGAGTGACACTGAATTTCTTGGTGTAATTTAGGAATAGGTATAATTCTATGCAGTTAGTTAAGGGGCATATGTGTACCTGAGCAAATCAAGTCAGTAATACTGCCAAGAACCTATCCATAAATGAGCCCTTAAAAAGAAAACACAGATGATTAATGTTTTCGGAGTGTCAAAACCATGGAAGACATCTAATTCTAAGATCTCTGCATGTGAGTTATGAGCACTGAGGAGTTTATAAAAATTCACTTTGAATAAATTCTTGATTATTCTCTAAAGGTAATAACTCAAATTTTCAATTAGAATAATGATGAGGAAATGAAGAATGGCAGCCATTCTCTTCCTGAATGACCAAATTTCTTTCAGCTGAAAAGGTCTGTGAGGGAAAATAATGGTGTTCAACTATATTGCTTCCATTGTTTATTCTCATTATCCTGAAACTTGACAACATTGGCAGGCTTCACAACAGCCTTCCAGAATGTAGGCTCCACATTACCCATCTTTATGCAGGCTTTGAGCCTTTAAATTATGAACAAGATTAAAATGTTGAACAATTCTTTTTTCTGCCAATCCCTAACAATTGTATTCACCAAAAAGCAAATTGATAGTTGACACTCAAGTTATTAGTGGATAATATTACTGCTTGAGCTTTCCCTACTACTTAAGCAACTTTCTGAATGGCACATACTCCAAAACTGGTATCACTGGCTTCCTCTAGAACCTTGGTACTACCTAAAATTAACATTATTGGCCCCAAAATCACTCTTTTACATAAATCATTGTTATGACTGCATCTTTTTATAGGTACAAATCACCACATAAAATTT
Source organism: Homo sapiens (assembly GCF_000001405.40). NCBI lineage: Eukaryota > Metazoa > Chordata > Mammalia > Primates > Hominidae > Homo > Homo sapiens. Next base: position 80,464,542 of record NC_000013.11, on the reverse strand, counting down.
AACACCCCACTCACCAAACAGTTCAACAAACTGAAAAATATTCCCCAAATGTGGTTGGTTGATTTGGAAGTTCATAATTATATATTTCAGATCATTGGTTTCTTTATGTGACATATCTTCCTTCAAAACTCTCAGTTTTTACTGTTTGTTGTGTTTTATCACTTCTTAAAATTTATAAAAACATATTCTTTTCCCAAAATGCACATGTACTATTATAATCTTTGAGAAGATGATGAGTAGGGATTTGACTCCAAACCTCAAAATAACAAGTATGATTCTTTCAGCTGACATCTCCATAATATTCATGCCAACAGGCATGATCCTACTCACACTGCTGACATAGAAACCGGCCCCTTGCACCAACTGTCAGAATCCAGAAGACACACGACCTCAGAAAGGATGCTAGCCAAAGGCAACACAGGAACAGCAATGAAAGGAGGAGACTTAATGCTGCCACAAGACAAAGTGAAGAAAACCAAAAGTACATAATTCCAGGCTCCAATTCCCACATATTCCTCACATGATTCTCTTTTCTTATAATAAAAAGATCCACCAATGAGCAGGATATGCTCATTTACCATGAGTCCAGCCTAGCCTGATAATCCTGCAAGCATTACCACAGAGGTGGACATTCCAGGAAGACTCAAACATGACCCTGCATTGTTGATAGTTTTTGTCCTCCCACTCCCTTCTTGGCAGGGCACCTGCTAAAAAAATTTGGCAATATGCCATGACAAAGTTCTGGCTTGTTAAAGGTAGCCTTTTACTCTTGGCAACAAAGTGCATTTTATTTTCTCCTGAACTAGAATATTTCCGATATTCCATTAGTCTTAGCTCCAATGCCTACTCAGTGTCAGGGGCTCCACACTGACCATGCTGTATTATCAATGACAGTAACATGGCTGACATTGCTGGAGCTCAAGACAAAAAAGAGGTGAATTGAGAGTGAAGAGTGCTGAATTAAGTGGGGTCACCCCTGCCAGAAAATGTTGTATATAATAGGTTTTCCTTATTAATTCTGTACCAAACACTCTCTCATCCTGGGTTATTCTCATCTAGTTGCATGACTTCAAGTATCATCTGATAATAGCCAAATATCTATTTCTAGACATTTGTATTCCTCCCCTAAACCCCAGGAACATATACCCGCTTACTTATTTGACACATACACTTGAATGACTAAAGGTAAATGAAACTTTAAATGAGCAAACCCAAATATTTGATTACCTCAACACCTTCCCACTACCTGCTCACCCCCCAGTCATCTTCATCTCAGATAATGGTAGCTCCATTCTATCAGTTGCTCAGCCCCAAAACTTGGTTATCCTTGACTTCCTTCTTATTTTTAGACTTCACATCCCAACCATTCAGATATCCTATAAGCTCTATTATTAAAGTATATCCAGAATTTGCTCGGTTCCCAACATCTTCCCACCACCACCCTAGTGCAGACTATCATCTCTTCTCTCAGGGCCAGTATCAATAACCCTTTAATTGGCCTCTCTGTTTCCATCCTCTCCTTCCCAACTTTCACTGAAGCCATTCAGTCTCCACTTAACAAAGTTAAACCTTTAAGGCATAGATCCTTGCTGATTAAAACTCTTACAGTTTTACATCTCACTCAGAATAGAATCTTAAGTTTCTACCATGAATCACAAGGCTTTCCTTGATCCAGTCCTGTTTCCTTGCTCACCTCCAATCCTACTGCCCTCTCTCTCTTTCCACTTCAGATACACTGGCTTACTTGGGTTTTCTTATACATACCAGGCATCCTCCTACTTGAGGCTTTTTGCACATTGCTGTTTTCACTTCCTGAAATGCTCATTTTCAAATTACAACCTACAACTTTTCCTAACTTCTTTCAAAAACTTCCCAGATTCCTACCTAAAATTGCCTCCCTATTGAGTCATTTTGTACCCTCTCATCATGCTTTATTTTTCTTCTTCCCATTTACCTCTATATTTTTTTTTTGCTTATGTGTATATTTTTTGTTTACTCCCACTGCATTGTACTTCATGCAAACAAATTCTCCTTATTTGGTTCACTGCTACATTTCAGCTCATGATAGTCCATCCATAATAAACCCTCGCTGTATATTTGTTAAATGAATAAATTAAAGAATAAAAAATAGATCCAAGCAGGAATCCCTGAAGAAATCATGATATTTGGGGCTGAGGAAATAAAATTAAGAGAACCTTGTATGAAGTATTGAGTAGTCTCCAAAGAGGGGGCAAGTAAACCAGAACACAGTAGCCAACGGAAGCTCTATTTTAAGTTAAATAATGTGGTTAACACAGTAAAATGCTAGAGAGGAGTGGCCAGTGAAGTATGAGAAGAACAAAGGGTGATAAAGAGTCAGGGTTAATTGAGGAAAGAGTTTTAAAAAGAAGATGATGATCAACACTGTCAAACATTGTTGAAGAATCAAGTATGATCAAATGGCATTGAGTGTGTAAAACAGAGGTTAATAAGAGCAGTTTTGGTGGAATGTTGGAAATGAGAATCTGCAATGGGCACAAGAAGCTACAAGGAAAGAAAGAAATGAAATAATGAGTACAGAAAATTCTTTAAGGAAAATTTTCTATAAATAGAAACTGTAGAGGCTCTCTAAAGATTCAATGAAAAATTAACTTGGAAAAGTCAGATTAATAGAAGAAAAGGCACACAAACTTATTTGACATGTACATGTGAGAGCCTTTAGAATGAAGACCCAAAGATACATGGGAAATTGTTTATTTTATGCTTAGGTTTGGCAAAGTATGGACAGCCATGTAGAAATAGGATTTCACAGAGAGGGTATGACCTAATGCTAATAGACCAAGTGGGGAAATTCAGCAAGGCCTGTGTGTCTAGATCCTTCTTGGCCTCTCTGAGCATGTATTCCCTCCTTCAGAGTATGGGGCAGGATTATCTCTGGAATGGGGGTCTTATGATGTACACTCCAAACAAGGTAGGTCAGACAATTATTTATGGTAAGTTTTTACACAGAAAGGCAGAGGGAAAATTAGAGAAATATTTTTATGTTTTATAACTAACTTCGGGGAGAAAGAGTTTTGATTTCTATGCCCTGCTTTGGGGAAGAGGGATTCTAGTTTCTATAGCTAGCCTCCAGGGAGAATGGGACTGAGAGACAGGAAGGCAGAAGGAGGTCCGAGAAAAACTTGCCTCTGAGGCTGCTGCTGAGGTCTTCCTTTTGAAATACTGTTTTCTGAGCCCCAGAAGGAAAAAAAAAAAAAAAAAAAAGAAAGAAAGAAATGAAGCAAATTGAAATAGGATGTGGAGTAACTTGGGCATTTCCTTTTTCAGACAGATGATATTATACTATCTTGTATGTAGATGAGAATAATCTTGTAGATAAGAAAAACTAGGCCAGGTGCAGTGGCTCACGCCTGTAATCCCAACACTTTGGGAGGCTGAGGCAGATCGCCTGATGTCAGGAGTTCAAGACCAGCCTGACCAACACGAAGAAACTCCATCTCTGCTAAAAATACAAAATTAGCCAGGCATGGTGGCACATGCCTGTAATCCCAGCTACTCAGGAGGCTGAGGCAGGAGAATCGCTTGAACCCAGGAGGTGGAGATTGTGATGAGTCAAGATCACGCCATTGCACTCCAGCCTGGGCAACAAGAGTGAAACTCGAAAAAAAAAAAAAAAGAAAAGAAAAGAAAAGAAAAGAAAAACTAATCATGCAGGAAGAAGAGAGAGCAGTAGAAATAATATCTGAGAACTGAACTTCATTCCCCTTTGCCCAAAGACATCATTTTTGTCCTTGTCTCATTTCTGAAGATTGTGTTTTTTTAATTCACTAAGAAATTCAAAATAATACCATCCAAACTTGCCATCTTGCTTTCAGTTGGCCTTTTCCAAATGTGAACAGTTATAAATCTTGTGTACAATCAGATACGATCAATACATAACCCAGCTTATATCTAAGCATATGTTAAGCATGACGATATTTTCTATTACATTTCATTGAGAAGAAATGCTGTTTGTGACAACTTCATTGATTCATGATCTGCTAAAATGTGATTAAAAAACAGTAGTCTCGGATCTGGCCATGGAAAGTGGGTGGCTGAGCTGGAGTGAAGAATAAGATCTTTGGAAATGAGGAGGTTCAGAATTTGAGTGACCAGAGTAATGGAAATACACTCAACAGAAGCATACTGAAGATACCAAGAATTTGGTAAGATTCACGTTCACGAGAGGAGCAATAAACCAAGTGCTAATCCTTTAAGAATTGACGTCTGACATGGTCCAAATGTCTCTGAATGTCTGCCACAAGGAGGCATGAGAGGGGACTGAACCTTTATGTTTGAGCTTCATTGGAGTTGGGTATTATTACTTTGTGTACCTTCCCTGGGTGATCTCAACATCTCCTACCACTTTAATGATCAACTGTATGTTAGTGTCTCACATAGACACATCTCCAGTAATGCTCTGTCCTCTGAGCACCAAATCATATAGCCACCTACTTACCTAACACCTTCACAAGCCCAGAAATTACATACATATAAAACTAAGAGTCTCTCATTTCTTAATTGCTTGAGGAAGAAAAGTCAACCCCAATCTTCATATCCCTGTACCTGTCAGGTCACACGTCTATAGATTGAATCACTATTAATTCTAGTTCCTAGATCCCTCTCAGATCTGCCCATTTCTCCAGACTCTTCTGTCACAACTCTACTTTAGGAGAACATCATTTCTTGCCTGGGTCTCTGCAGCAGCTTCCTGATAATTACTTCTGCCTTATTTCTTCTTGGTTTCTATGCAGAAAAATGATTAGAGGGAAAATGACTGAAAGAAAAGACCACCTATTGGACATTTCATTTTATTATTATTGTTTTAATTGCCCAATTTTTCAGTATTTCCAACTTAAAAGAAAATGGCCTGTTGTGCAGAGCTTGGAGAAGGCAGGCTGTACTTTCCATCAAAGTAATTGAAAGAGAACAGATTTTTTTCCTTCCCCATCCTCTAGTACCTAAGGCATGAGCATACAATTTAGGTTCAGACAATTTGATACAAGTACTCAGGACTTTGAATCTGGAGTAGTAAATAAGGTGAAAGAACATTTAGCTGTTTCACTCACCAATAACACCGTCCAGAGGGTGAAGTGTCAGCAGAGCCACAGGTGGGAATGGGATATTTTTCAGCAGTGCCGGTGCTAGTGGTGGTGTCCTAAGCAGATGGTTCTGATGAATCACAATGGCTGTGGCCCCAGCTAACCAGACTTCATTGGTTCTGTCACAGCTTATGAGTCTCGCTGTCCAACTATCTTGTTGATTCTATAAGTATTCCCAAACCTGGTGAAACATTCTCTTCTGCTTGAGCTAACCAAAATCATGTTCTATTGCTTACAATGCAAATTCTGATTGACATAGACCAGTTAAGAAGTTATAGTAATTTAGAATAAAGAGAATAGTGACCTGAATTAAAACAAGGGCAGCATGATAGAAAAAGGAAAGCAGGATTGAAAAATAGTCAGGAGTTAAAATTCACAAAAATGTATTGGATATTGGGATAAAGAGAAGAAAGTCTCAGTTGATGGTTTTTGCCTGGGTAAAGTGGTTGTCAGTAGTTCTAAACACAATAAAGATAGGAAAATAATAATAATGAAGAAGTTGGGCAGATGGCAGGGGTGAAGGAGATGTGGTGGTGGGACTAATTACTATTTTATAAAAGCTGAGTCTGAGATTTTAAGATAATGCTATGGGAGACAGATGGATGAATCTGTGGGAAATGTCAAGGATAAAGATAGAGAATTTAAGTCATCAGGAACTGAAATCATGAAAGGAAATGAGATCACTCTGGAAGGGTTCACAGCATGAGAACAGTGGGTCGAGGATACACATCTGAAAAATACCGTAATTTAAGAGATGAGCTTAGGAAGAGAGGCCTAGAAAATAAATCACATCATTCTGGACCACAGTTTTTTCTTGAGGAGATGGTTTGAATTCAATTGCTCCACATAATTTCCTTGGACATGTAGTGCTACTTAAAAATCATTTCTTGTCTTTGGAAGCTTTTTTGTGAGCAACAATTTCAAATAATTATTATCTGCTTATGTTTCTAATCAAAGATCTAAGTCCCACATTCTTTTCGGGAGACCTCTGTCTTCCAGGTTTGAAGAATAGCAAATCCCTCTGCATTTTAGGCAATATCTAAAATATGAAGAGACTTGCCTATCACTAATACTTCCATATAGATCTCTAAGTACAGAGTTTCTCTACTTTCTCCCTGGGACAACCCTGAGTTTATGGGTTCCAAAGAAGCAGAGCCCTGCTTTAGCCATTCAGTTAGGATCTGCTTGACCCACAAGAGATTTACCAGTTACTCCTCAGGTTTTTTTTTTTTTCTTAATTTTATTTGTAATTGACATGTAATAATTGTACATATTTGTGGGGTATGAAGTAAACCTTTGACAAAGTATACAATGTGTTATGATCCAATTTTAGCATAATTAGCATATCATTTCAAATTGTTTCTTTGTGTATGTTGGGAAAATTAAAAATCCTCTGTTCCAGATATTTAAAACTACCCACTAAATTATTCTAGCTTTACTCACCTGACAGTGCTATATAACACTACAACTTATTTCTCCTATCAATTGTGATTTTCTATCCACTAATCAACCTCTCTGTATCCTCTCTCCCTCCCTTCCCAGCCTCAAATAGCCACAATTCCACTCTCTACTTCTATCAGTTCAACTTTGTTAACATCTACCTATGAATGAGAACATGCCTGAGAGTATTTCTCTCTCTTGCCTGACTTAACATAATGTCCTCCAGGCTCATCCATGTTGTCACAAATGATAGAATTCCTTTCTTTTTTTATGGCTGAATAATATTCCAATGTCTTTGTGTGTGTGTGTGTGCATATATATATATATATATATATATCACATTTTCTTCCATCTATTCACCTGTTGATAGGCACTTAGGTTGACTCCATATCTTGGCTACTATGAAAGTGCAGCAATAACATGGGGGTGCAGATAGCTCTTCAATAAGCTGATTTTCTATCTTTTGGATAAATACCCAGTAGTGGGGTTGCTGGATCATATTGTACTTCTATTTTCAGTTTTTTGAGGAAACAACATACTGTTTTCCATAATGGCTGTACTAATTTACATTCCAACCAACAATGTATGAGAGTCCTCTTTTTTTCTACATCTTCAACAGCATTTTTCATGTTTTTGTCTTTTTGATAATAGCCACTCTAACTGGGGTGAGATGATATCTCATTGTGGTTTGATTTTCATTTCTCTGGTGATTAGTAATGTTGAGCATTTCTTCATATACCTGCTGGCCATTTGTATCTCTTCTTTTGAAAAATGTCTATTCAGATCCTTTGCCCATTTTTAAATAGGATTATTCTTATTATTGTTGTAGAGCTGTTTAAGCCCCTTGTATATTCTGGATGTTATCAGATATATAGATTGCAAATATTTCCTCCCATTTTACGCATTGTATCTTCACTGTTTTTTCCTTTGTTAAGAAGCTTTTTAGTTTAAAACAGTCTTATTTGTCTTTGGCTACTTTTGTTTTTGTTGCCTGTGCTTTTGGTCTTACTCATATTTTTTTTTTTTTTTTTTTTTGCGACAAAGTCTCGCTCTTGTCCCCCAGGCTGAAGTGCAATGGCATGATCTCCACTCACTGAAACCTCCCAGGTTCAAGTGATTCTCCTGCCTCAGCCTCCTGAGTAGCTGGGATTACAGGCGCCTGCCACCACGCCTGGCTAATTTTTGTATTTTTAATAGAGACGGGGTTTCACCATGTTGGCCAGGCTGGTCTCAAACTCCTGACCTCAGGTGATCTGCCCACCTCGGCCTCCCAAAGTGCTGGTATTACAGGTGTGAGTCACCATGCCCAGCTAAATCTTTACTCAGAATAAGGTCGTGAAGAATTTCTTCTATGTTTTCTTCCAGTAGTTTTCTTTGCGGGGGGTGGGGAAGGGGGTTGAGATGGGATCTCACTCTGTCACCCAGGCTGAAGTACAGTGGTGTAAACATAGCTCACTGTAGTCTTGAATTCCTAGACTCAAGCAATCCTCCCACCTCAGCCTCCTGAATAGCTATGACTACAAATGTGCACCACCACACCCAGCTAATTAAAAAAAAAAAAATTGTAGAGATGGGGTCTTGCTATGTTGACCAGGTTGGTCTCAATCTCTTGGCCTCAAACAGTCTTCCCACCTTGGCCTTTCAAAGTGCTGGGATGACAAGCATGAGCCTCTGTGCTCAGCTCTTCTAATAGTTTTATAGTTTCAGGTCTTACATTTAAGTCTTTCATCCATATTGAGTTCATTTTTGTATGTGGTGACAGACAGAGGTCAAGTTTCATTCTTATGTGTATGAATATCCAGTTTTCCTAGCAGCATTTATTGAAGAGGCTGTGCTTTCCCCCATAAATGTTCTTGGTTCTTTTGTCAAAGATCAGTTGGCTGTAAATACCAGATTTGTTTCTGAGCTCTCTATTCTGTTTCATTGGTCTATGTGTCTGTTCTTATGCTACTACCATGCTATTTTGATTTCTATAGCTTTGTAAGTATATTTTGAAGTCAGGTAGTGTGATGCCTCTAGCTTTGCTCTTTCTGCTTGGGATTGCTTTAGCTATCCAGGGTATTTTCTGGTTTCATGTGAATTTTAGGACTTTTTCTATTTCCGTGAAAAATGTCTTTGATATATTGATAGAAATTGCACTGAATCTGTAGATCCTTTAAATAGAATGGTTATTTTAACAATATTAATTCTTATAATCCATAAACATAAAATGTCTTTCCAATTTTTGTGTTGTCTTAGATTTCTTGTATCAGTATTTAGTAGTATTTTTTGTAGAAGTCTTCTACTTCCTTGGTGAAATTTATTCCAAGTTATCTATTTTTCTGGTAGCTATCGTAAATGAGATGGATTTTTTAAATCTAGCTCATTGTTACTGTACAGAAATACTGATTTTTTTTTTTTGAGATGGAATGTGGCTCTGTAACCCAGGCTGGAGTGCATTGGCACCATCCCAGCTCACTGCAGTCTCTGCCTCCCGGGTTCAAGCGATTCTCCTGCCTCCGCCTCCCAAGTAGCTGGGATTTACAGGCACCTGCTGCTGTGCTGGGCTAATTTTTGTATTTTTAGTAGAGACGAGGTTTCGCCATGTTGGCCAGGCTGGTCTCAAACTCCTGACCTCAGGTGATCCACCCGCCTCGGCCTCCCAAAGTACTGGGATTACAAGTGTAAGCCACCGTGCCCAGCCAAAACACTACTGATTTTTGTATGTTGATTTTGTGACCTGCAACTTTGCTGAATTTGTTTGCCATTTCTAAGAGGGTTGTTTTTTTTTTTTTCCAGTTTTATAATGTGTTGTTCTTTTTAAGTTCAGGGGTACATGTGCAGGATGTGCAGTTTTGTTACATAGGTAAACATGTGTCATGGAGGTTTGTTGTAATTTCATAACCCAGGTATTAAACCTAGTATCCATTAGTTCTTTTTCCTGACCGTCTCTCTCCTCCCACCCTCCACACTTCAATGGCCCCAGTGTGTGTTGTTCCCCTCTATGCATTGGTGTGTTCTCATTATTTAGCTCCCACTTATAAGTGAGAACATGCAGTATTTGGTTTTCTGTTCCCACATTAGTTTTCTAAGGATAATGGCCTCCAGCTCCATTCATGTCCCTGCAAAGGACATAATCTTTTTCTGGCTGCATAGTAATCCATGTTGCATATGTACACATTTTCTTTATCCAGTCTATCATTGATGGGTATTTAGGTTGATTCCATGTCTTTGCTATTGTAAATAGTGCTGCAGTGAACATACGTGTTCATGTGTCTTCATAATAGAACAATTTACATTCCTTCAGTTACATACCTACTAATAGGATTGCTGGGTCAAATGGTCTGTCTTTAGGTCTTTGAAGTATTGCCACACTGTCTTCCACAATGGGTGAACTAATTTACACTCCCACCAACAGTGTATAAAAGTGTTCCTTTTGCTCCACAGCCTTGCCAGCACCTGTTATCTTTTGACTTTTTAAAAACAGCCATCCTGACTAGTGTGAGATGGTATGTCATTGTGGTTTGTGGTTTGGATTTCCATTTCTCTAACCGTATTTTGATGAAGTTTTTAGGCTTTTCTATATATAACATTACATCATCTGAAAAAAGGAACAATTTGACTTCCTCTTTTTTCAATTTGAATGTCCTTTATTTCTTTCTGTTGCCTAATTGCTCTGGCTAGGATTTCCAGTACTATGTGAAATAAGAGTGGTGAAAGTGGCCATCTTTGTCTCATTCCAGTTCTTGGAAGACAAGTTTTCAGCTTTTCTTTGTTCAATATGGTGTGGTCTTGTTATATTTTGCCTTTTTGTGTTAAGGTATGTTCTTTCTGTATAATTTTTAAGAGTTTTCATCATGAAGGGATGTTGAATTTTATGAAATGCTTTTCTGAAATGTTTTTCTGCATCTATTGAGGTGATCATATGGTTTTTGTCCTTTATTCTGTTGATGTGATGCATCTTATTTATTGATTTGCACATGTCAAAACATCCTTGCATTCCTAGTAAAACTCCCACTTGATTGTGATATATAATCTTTTTGATGTGCTATTGGATTTGGTGTGGGAGTATTTTGTTGAGGATTTTTGCATCCGTGTTTATCAGTGATACTGGCTTGGCTTTACGGTTTCTTTTGTTGTTGCTGGTTTTTGTTGTTTTATGCTTTTGGTATCAGAGTAATGCTGGCCTGATAGAATGAGCTAGGAAGAATTTCTTCCTCTTCAATGTTTTGGAATAGTTTAAGAATTATTGTTAATACTTTTTAATGAGTTTGGTAGTATTCATCAAGGAAGCTATCCAGTGCTGAGCTTTTCTTTGTTGAAAGAACTTCTATTACTGGTTCAATCATATTACTTGTTATTGGTTGTTCAGGTTTTCTATTTCTTTGTGACTCAATCTTGGTAGGTTGTATGTGTCCCGAAATTTATTCATTTACTCTAGGTTTTCCAATTTTTCAGTGTATAGTTGTTCATAATAGATTCTCATGATCCTTTCTATTTCTGTGGTATCAGCTGTAATACCTCCTTTATTATTTCTGATTTTATTTGGGTATTCTTTTTTATTCTTAGTTTAGCTAATGGTTTGTTGGGATATTGTTTTTTCTTTTCATTTTGCTCATCTTTTTATGTTTTTAGTTTGTTTTGGTTAGTTCTGCTCTGATCTTTATTTCTTTCCTTCTAGTAATTGGGGTTTGGTTTGTTCTTTTCTTCTTGAGGTACATCATTAGGTTGGCTATTTGAAATCTTTCTACATTTATGATGTAGGTGTTTATTGCTATACACTTCCCTCTTAACACCACTTTTGCCATATTCCCTAGGTTTGGGGATGTTGTGTTGCTATTTTCCTTTGTTTCAAGACTTTTTATTTTCTTATTTTCATTGGCTTGTCATTCAGAAGCATGTTGTTTAATTTCCATAGATTTACACAGTTTTCAGTGTTCCTCTTGTCATTGGTTTCTAGTTTTATTCCACTGTGGTCTGAATACATAGAATAGGTACTTGATATAGTTTTGATTTTTTAAAAGTTGTTGAGACTAGTTTTGTGGCCTAACATGTGGTCTATCCTGGAGAATGTTTATGGTGATAAGAAGAATGTGTATTCTGGAAGGAGCAGAGTCACTGGCAGTGACAGAGGCAAGCCCCAGGTAAACCAATCCTCAGGCCACTGCGGTGGTATATTTGTGTGCCAGGTGACTCCACTGCTGGAGAAAGCACGATTGTTGGTAGCAGTAATGGATCCTGGGCAGGCTGGTCCTCAAGTCCCTGGGGAACATGCACAGGTACACAGCTGCTCTGCCACTAGAGAAGGTGGGGCCACCAGTGACAATGGTAGGCCCTGGGCAGGCCAGTTCCATGACCCATGGGGAACACATGTGGGTGTGTGGCTGCTCCACTTCTGAAAATGATGAGGTTGCTGGCAGCAGCAATCCCCAAATAGGTTGCTCCTCATACCCCTGAGGGGCACATGTGGGTATATAGCTGCTCTACCACTGGAGGGAGTAGGGTTACCTGTGGTGATAGTGGTGGCAAGCCACAGGCTAGCTGGTCCTCAGGCCTCTGAGGTGCATGTGAGCACAGAGGTGCTCTGCCACTGAAGAGGGCAGGGCTGCTAAGGAGGCAGCAAGTCTCAAGCAAGCTGGTTTTTAGGCCCCAGAAGGATGCCGGCTCCACTGTGGGTATGGGTAGTGTTACTTTTGGTGGTGGTGGGCCCCAGGCAAATTGCTCTCAGGTTCTAGACAGCAATGCATGTCAGTTCCCTTGGTCCTGGGGGCAGCCTCCCTACATTATTGGACCACCTGTTCCCCAGGGTACAGGATACCACACGGGTTCAGGTACCAGGATGATGGCTGCACAGTTGGGTCCAGCTGGTGTTGCAATGTTGCAGCCTCTAGATGAATGTGACAGGATGTTGGTAGGGCCCCAGGGATGTGGCAATTAGGAGCTATTGGGTCCCAGAGCAGGATGCACTCTGTTGATCACCCAACTCTCAAAAAGACAAAATGCTCTGGTGGCCTGGGTCCCAGAGGGTGGAGGGTAACACTGTAAATTCCCTCTCTTGACTAAGGCAGTCATGTGGACTCCAGACAACTCCTATACTTGGCTCATGGCCTGCAAGGTCCGTGGGGCTCTCCTATTGCTAGGGCAGAAGGCATCTGTGGTGGGAATGTGGAATGTTCTTTGCTTACCTTTCCCCTGTAGTGGGGAGGTCCATCTTAGCTCCAAGTTGATCTTGGCTGGGTACTTCGCTTTTTTTTCTATGCTGCTATCTCAAGTCTCTGTGCCTCTGGGTGTCTTTGTCACTACTTTGCTTAATTCCAGTGTGTTCCTCTAGACACTATTTGACATGTGGTTATCTGTTATTTTGGTATTTCTTTGTGGAGGAGTAAACTGCTGAGTGTCTCTAGTCACCCAACTTGATCTATAACCTAGTTACTCCCTGGTCTTTTGATATTTTTTATCTTCATTGCCTTGTATCAATGAAATATTGCTGGTTAAACATGGATGGACAGTGTTGACATTAAAAATTGCCTTCGAGTTATGAAGCCATTCTTCTATTTTTCTTTTGGTTTCCAAAGGCCTCCTCAGACTTTACTTTTGCTTCAAAAACACCACTTCTAGTTGGTGAAGAACAGGTGGTAAGAAGGAAAATAAATGTACATTCAACTATTTCCCTTGTCTTCAGGTTGAGAAAAAATAAAGAAGTGGTTGTGTTCTATAGTCCTGAGATAGGACAGAGAATTCCTAGCCAGTGCAACAGAAAAAAATTGAGAAAGGAAGTGATAAGCCAAGCTTAAATTAATAGGACTATACTGAGATTCAAATGTAAGAATACCAAGTTCTTACAGTGCATTTAAGAATACATGCCATTCTAAAAATACACGTAAGATACCAAGTGCAGAGTATCAGAGATTTTAAAAGTTTCAAGTCACAGAGCCAAGAGTTCAGGTTAGAAACAATCAGACTGGAAAATTGGAGGAGTCCTGGGGCTTGCCATAAGCCTAGAAAGTGTTTATAATTTATATAAGGATGTGTAGTAAGATTTGGCTCACTTAAAATCAAGGGTAAAAAGATGTAGCATCAGTGAAACTCTGGAAAACACAATGTAGTTGATAGGCAGAAGAAAAGAAAACAGAGATTGAGCAGAAGCTGTTTGAAGTTATGACTATGGTTTGAATGTTCCCTCCAAAACTCACATTAAAACGTAATCCCTTGATTTGGCAATATTGAGAGGTGAGGCCTTTAAGAAGTGACTGGATCATGAAGGCTCTGCCTTCAGAAATTGACTAATCTATTTATAGATTAATGGTTTAATAGTTAATGGATTAATATGGAAAGGAACTGGTGGTTTTACAAAAGGAAGAAAAGAGACATGACCTACCATATCAGCCCACTCAGCTTCCTCACCCTGTGGTTTTATGTACCACCTCAGGACCACAGAGTCCCCACCAGCAAGAAGGCTCTCATCAGATGTGGCCCCTCAACCTTGGACCTCTCAGCCTCTATAACTGTAATAAATATATTTATTTTCTTTATAAATTACCTAGTTTCAGATATTCTGATATAAACAGAAAAAGAACCAAGGCAGTTATTTAAAAAGCAATGAGACAGGGTCTTTTAGACGACCAAGAAAGAAAAGACAGGAAGTTTATGTAAACTGAAACCAGTGGAGATTGGATAAGTTAAGAATAGAAATACATCCACTGATTTGACTATTATCAAGCCATTCATATCCTTGTCAATAGCTGTTTCTGTACTGTGACAAGGATAGAAAGCAGAAAGCAGTGTGTTATCAAGTAAATGGGAGAAGAGAAATTACAGAGATAAGCAAACAATACATTTCAACAACTGTAGTTATGAAGAGAAAAATAATAAAATGCTAGCTAGGAGATAAAAGTTGAGGGAGGTTTTCTTTTTTCAGAAAAAGTTGAGCAGTATATATGTTTATCTTTTATGTGACAAATATAAAATCCAACTTGAATTGCTTAAAAAACAAGAAGGTATTGACTTTTTAAAACAAAATGATCCACAAGTAGAGTAAGCTTTAGGAATGGTCTGATAAAATTTTCTGCTTCTCTAATAAAAACTATTCCCTAGAGTCAGCAGTGGGGCAGGCTTCCTTAAGGTCTCATGATTACCCCTGCTGGAGATTGTTGGTAAGATGAGGGGGAAAGATGTAGTAGATGTTGAGGAGACCACCAAAAGGTGATCCCACTTCAGTCCACATCTTTGTTACAACATCCAACATCCAAACATACTTTTCATTGTATATGTACAATTTCAAAAATGCCCATGCCCATATGAAGTACACTCCCTCCCTCACCAAATGAAGTGAACTCCAAATCCTTTCCAGTTACTGTATCTAGGACAACCCCAGTGTTTCTGTGCCAAATCCAGTCTTACCCAAAAAGAATGGTTCAGGTATCTACAGCTAACCGAAAAGCTGTCCACCCACTGTTGTATAACATTCAGTATTTATTAGTGGAAGGAAAACAGAATAACCAAAACAGAGCACTTGCATTTGAGAACAAGGAAAATTGATGTCAGAAGTTCTCTTAGTTGGGCCCGACGCGGTGGCTCACGCCTGTAATCCTAGCACTTTAGAGGGCTGAGGCGGGTGAATCATGAGGTCAGGAGATCAAGACCAGCCTGGCCAACATGGGGAAACCCCGTCTCTACTAAAAAATACAAAAATTAGCTGGGTGTGGAGGTGCGCACCTGTAATCCCAGCTACTTGGGAGGCTGAGGCAGGAAAATCGCTTTAATGCAGGACGTGGAGGTTGCAGTGAGCCAAGATCGTGCCATTGCACTCCAGCCTGGGTGACAGGGCAAGACTCCATCTCAAAAAAAAAAAAAAAATGTTCTTAGTTATTCCCAAATGGAACAGTTCCAAGGACAGCTTTTGGGGAGCATGTTCATTGTTCATTCTCCACCATTGCAACATTAGAGATGGAAAATGGTATGGCTGCCTTACACTGACTTCTTTAGCAGTCAACTTTCTTATAGTGTAAAGGTGGGGACTAGAGACAGATTGAAGAGTTGAACAGATATAAGCTATTTTTAGCCAGGCTTGCTTGGGTTTTGTTGGCAATACTGCTCCCTTAGGGGATTAAGAAAGATGATCTATTTCCTTCCAGCTAGTGTCAAGGGCCAGTAGTAAAAGCCAGAGATGTTGTTCTGTGAGAATTGACAAACGCAGCCTTGGACCCCCAGATTTTTGTTTCCTAGCAGCCCAGCTTTGGTATTCTATGCACACTCCTCGCCCTAAGTAGAATGACTTCCACCAAAAATCATGTGACCGACAGAGCAAAGATGATGTGTTCCTTCCTCCCAGACTGCATCCCAGGGACTTCACCAGCACAGAAATAATTTTACCTTCCAAGAGGCAGAGAACACTCAAGAGAGGAACTGGGGAAAATTGGAGAAATCAGATTCTTCCTCTACCCTAATTTTATCTCTTTTTCAGTCCCCTCTCTCTTTAATTTTGCTTATATTAACTTCAGCTTGGGGTTAGGAATTTGTCATTTCCAACCTACAAGAAACCAGATAACCAAATTTCAGATCGTTTTTTGTAACAGTCTGCAGTCAGAAGGCACTGCTTAACAAAGCATATTTTTTCTCCTCTCAACTTCCAGAAGGTATAATTTCAAATGAAGCCTATCTCTTCATCAAGGGACAAGAGTGAACATTAAAAGAAGGCTTCAACATACTTTAGCATTATGACATTTCTTATATGATGCTTATTTCAGAGTTCAAGGGGCCACAGGTTAGTAAACTCCCCTATAACTACGAATGAGGAAGGCCAACTCTCCAGCACAAGACAGAGCAATTCTCTTCACTACCTACTCTCTCCTTGGTTTCACATTTTTACTTACAACACCCTCTTTTCCATTACTGAATTCAGTATCAGTGTAGTTTAGAGAGATTCATATGTTGCAATAAGAAAAGTGAAAGTCTGTTTTTTGTTTGTTTGTTTATCTCATGCATTTGAAAAAAGTCCAAAGACGATATAGGCTTTAGTTAATTTTCAATAGGGGCTCCTTTTCTCTGGCTCTCTTTTAGGTTTGCTCATCTCTGTACATGAAACTTAAGCCCAGCTGACTCCTCTTATAGTAGCAAAAAATAGGCAGGCTTCATGTCCTCAAACCACAGAGAACTTGAATTTTCACAATATTTTCTGGAATTCAGCTGGATCTGTGATTCTCATACATCTACTACTGAACCAGTTACTAGGTCATGCCGATAATTTGAGCTGAATGGCCAAGCCTCAGCAAGTCTTCAGAATTGAATTCACACATCCAAAAGCCACATGGATTCTCAAAATCAGAAATCAGAAGCTGTGGGAAGTTATAACAAAGCAATAAATTTGGGTAAAAATTAAGTAAAGCCACCATAATATTCAAAAAGGAGAAATTGAAGACATAGTAAAGCAGGAATTATTTTTAAAAAGGAAGACCCTGTAATTGAAAAGAAATAAATTAGTAGTAAAGAAAGATTATGTAGCAGAAGGATACACTATATTACAATATATTAATTTACTCATTCATTAACAATCTAGACAATATTTTACATTAATCTTCACCTGCCTATGTCTCCAAAGTCAACCTGCTCTGCTTAGAAATAGACTTCTCTCAGATTTTGTTTTAATGAAAATTTTACTAATATAGTTGTAAGTTCACATACAGTTGTTTAAAAAAAGATAATACAGAGATCTGCATGTAAGCTTTACCCAGTTTCCCCTAATCATAATATTTTTTTTTGGTAACCCTATAGAAGAATATAGCAACCAGAATACTGACATAGATATAATCACCATTTTTTTCAGATTTTGCAACTAGCTAAAAGACAATGAAATTGATAAATTCTAAACACAACTTAGAAAGGGAAAGCACAATGTTAAGTGGAGAAATTTTTGTCTGATAGCATCTATGGCTTTTGAAGAAAAATGGCCATCTTCAGATAGTGAAATATAAGAGGAAAATATTTGGAGAAAGAGGATTGTGGTAAATAAGACTGAGAAATATCAGGATTATTCAAAACAATACTTGCATATGTAGTATCCCACATCCAGACACTAATGACCTTTTATTTGCAGTTTGTACGTCTGTTGTGCTTTTCTAGGAACTAACTTGAGAGCATATGATTATATAAAAGCAATGTGACAGCATTTTGGAGTAAGCTGGCTTTAAATCAAGGTGATCAGAACAGAAATTATTTCCAAATTTCCATTATTTGTTAGTTACTTATAGTTACTTTGCCTTAGTTAAAATATGTTTAACAATCTATAACAATTTTATTAAAATTAACTTTTATTTTAGCATCAAAAGAAGAACAAAGAACAAAAAACTAAAATTCTACTATGAATCAAGTTTGGCAAAACGATTCTTTAGAGAAAAAAAAAAGTGACAACTGCAGGGTGCGGTGTCTCATGCTTATAACCCCAGCGCTTTGGGAGGCTGAGGTGGGAAGTTCACCTGAAGTCAGGAGTTTGAGACCAGCCTGGCCAACATGGCGAAACCTCATCTTTATTAAAAATACAAAAGTTAGCTGGCCGTGGTGGCACGTGCCTATAGTCACAGCTACTTGGGAGGCTGAGGCAGGAGAATCACTTGAACCCAGGAGGCGGAGATTGCAGTGAGTCGAGATCGTGCCACTGCACTCCAGCCTGAGCAACAGAGTGAGACTCCAAAAAAAAAAAAAAAAAAAAAAGTGACAACCAACAAGTACCATTTTTTCATCCACTGTAGTAGTAAATACTGCAGAAAGTTTCATGTTGTTTCCTCAAAGCACCTGTAATGCACTACATATTCTAGGCCTTCGATAGAATATACAGAATATATATATATATATATATATATAAAATAGAATATATAGAATGATTTGGATAGAAATTATAGAAAACTTTCATCTTTGGTTTAACACTATACCAAATAGATATTGTAAATGCAGAATGACTCCATGAATTCAACTGAAATCACTGCTTACAGTGATTCATTCAGGTACTTTGAAGAAGCAATATAAAATTTTTTTCTATAAAATATGAAACTAATTTTTAACAAAGTATTATCTCTACATGGAAGGTAGAACAAAAGAACTTATAACTTATCAAGTTGTACACTCTCCAAATTTCATATTTTTATATTTCTAAATTAATTTTATTCACTCAAATACTTTTATTATTTTTAACTTTTACAGAAAAAGTCTTGCTCTGTCATCCAAGCTAGAGTGCAGTGGCCCAATCATGGCTTACTGCAGCCTAGAACTCCTGGGCTCAAACAATCCTCCCACCTCAGCCTCCTGAGTAGCTGGGACTACAGTCATGCACCATTACACCCAGGTAGTTGTTTAAAAATTTTTTTGTAGAGACAATCTCTGTTGCCCAGGCTGGTCTTGAACTCCCGGCCTCAAGCAATCCTCCTGCCTCAGCCTCTCAAAGTGTTGGGATTATAGGTGTGAGCCTGACAAAAAAGTTTTATTGAGACCTATTAGGTGACTTGCACTGACCTAAATTCTGGGAATCTATTGACAAAAAAAAAAAAAGATACAGTCCCCTTCACCTCATAAGCTTTCATTATGTATAGAGGAAAAAAGCAAAAATTGGGGGGGAAAAAACTTTCTTCCAAACTTTCTTAAACTTAAAGCAATATTTGAGTAAAACTTCATATCTCATGACTAGGATATACTCTTCTATTAATATCATGTAATCATTTTTATCTTAGTCTCACTCAGATACCAACTGGGTTCACAAAGCTCTTTAAGGGACATGTCACTGTTTCAAACCTCATTCTGTAGGATTTCTGGGATTTTCAGGAAGCCTTAGAACACTGTAAGCAGTGATTTCAGTTGAATTTGTGGAGTCATTCTGCACTTACAGTATCTATTTGGTATAGTGTTGAACCAAAGATGAAAGTCTTCTCCTATGATTTCTATCCAAAAATCATTTAGGAATGTAGAAGATTTAACTGAAGATGGGGAAGACACAGAGCAAACTTCACATTTAAGCAAAGCATCTATGCGAGCTAAATGCTGCATCCACTTATTTTAAAAGTCCTTTGGTGACCCTAATAGCTGTGATTTTTTTTTCCCTGTGAACCATTTTATCCAATTTTAAACTCCACCTTACGCCTCCTCTCTGGCCTTTCCTTCCTCATTCCATTCTCTTCTTTGTCCACCCCTTCTGTATAATCCCCATGTTGTTTACTCTTTAGCCTGTTTTCGAAATTTGACCTACTTTTGCATAATTCAAACAAACCTAATTCAATATTATCCTTGCTCCCTAAACTATGGCATCAAACAGCCAATTTCCTCCTCCATTATTACATGAGGAGATACTTATTACAGTTCTGTAATAAATATTAAAATAGTTATTTCAGCATACTTCTGGGTGAAACAAGTAAAACTACATGTTAATATTACTACAGAGAGACAAAGTGACAGAGGCAATGGAAAGAGGAAATTACCCTCTAGACAAGACATTTAAAAATAGACACATGAAAGACATCAGATGATGGTGAAATAAGGTCACATTTGCCCTATCATAACCCCTGTCACTCCACTGTTTTATGGGCATTGTGTCCATTAAGTGAGATGTGAGGATAGGAAGGCATCAGTCATACTGGCTGGCAGCTCCTCAGATGTAGGAGGTGAAGAAATTACAGCACAATCTCAGAGAAAACAGGAAGAGGTGAGAGTAAGACTACTAAGTTAGGGTTCGGTGTGGTTGCAAACAACAGAAAACACAACAAACAATGACTAAAGGATGGGGTGATATCCTTCAAATAAGAATCATCCTGCTGCTCTAGAAGAGCATGCTTCTACGTTACTTTACCATTTTCTAGCACATGAGGCATCCTCAGGTACACAAGAAGACTACTAAACTTCTGTGCATCCCAAAAAAGAAAAAAGTTTGCAAGGTGATGGTAAAATCTTCTTCTTTACCTGGCTTTGCCTTTTTACCTGGCAAGGGAAGGAGGGCAGTGCTCCCTGATAATTTTTTTATCAAAATCTCAGCTCAGAAATTTGTCAGATGGTCAGTCTGACTTACAAGAGGTGTAATCTCTAGTGTTTTTCCCCCTCATTAAAATTTGTAAAGAAGTCAAGGGAGAAGGAGTTTGGAATGGAAATTGAGAGTCGACCTACAATATCAGTTACAACTAGGGTGAAGATGAATAAGAATTCCTCACTGCTTCTAAGATCCTAGAAAAAACAAGCACAGAGAAATGTTAAGAGGCTCATAAGAAAGGCAAATCCACCTCAAAGATTCACATGATTATTCAGGATATCACTGATAATATTAAAATATCAGTAATATCAACTGAAATGAGAGATTTTTCCCACTGAAATTATTTGAAAAGCTCCCAATATTTATATGTTATCTACCCAATTATTGATAAATATGTACGTGTGTGTATTGGTGTTTGTATGTGTGTGTGTATGAAAAGAGAGAAGGAGGAGAAAAAGAAGAAAGGAGGAGGAGGAAGAAAAGAGGAAGAGAAGGGGGAGGAAGAAGTTATCACTCCAAGGTAGAATTTTTTTTTTAACTTAGTGACAAGAGAAACCTGGACTGTATTTTAAATATTTTCAAAAGTATTACGAAATAAGAACATGAAACTGGGCTGTATTCCATATAAAAAGTTAATCTGGGTAACATGAAAGAATTAATGGATAATGATTTTACATAAATAAGCACATTGGCTCTCACCTACAGCAGACTTGATCACACATTTTTTGGTTAAGTAACTTCATTTAAAAAAATAAGACAAAAGCAAGCATAAGCCAACTAAAATTAGTAGATGGAAGGAAGTAGTAAAGATCAGAGCAGAAATAGATGAAATAGAGATGCAAAGGCAATATAAAAGATTGATAAAATGAAAAGTTTTTTGAAAAGAAATAAAATTGATAAACCACTAGCTAGACTAATAAAAAAGGGATGAGAGAGAAAAGAAGACCCAAATAAACAAAATTGGGAAAGAAAAAGAAAATGTTATAACTGATACCACAAAAATACAAAAGATCAGAGACAAAAACAACTATATACTTGAAAAACTGGAAAATCCAAAGGAAATGTGTAAATTTTTGGACACATACAACCTACCAAGATTGATTCAGAAAGAAATAGAAAGCATGAACAGACCAATAATGAGCAATGAGATTGAATCAGCAATAGAAATTTCCTAACAAAGAATAGCCCAGTCCAGTTTACACACTGCCAAATTCTACTAAACTTACAAAGAAGAACTAACACCAATTATCTTCAAACTATTTCAAAAGATTGAAGCAGAAGGAATTCTTTCTAACTCATTCTATGATGACAGCATTACTTCAAAACCAAAACTTGACAAGGATGCAAAAGAAGAAAGTTACAGGTCAATGTCACTGAGGAACATAGATCCAAAAATCCTTACAATACTAGCAAATCCAATCCAATGGTGCATCAAAAAGATAACACACCATGGTCAAGTGGGATTTATCTCAGGGATGTAGAGATGGTTCAGTATACACAAATCAATAAATGTGATACATCATATCAACAGAATGAAGAACAAAAATCATATGATCATCTCAATACACACAGAAGAAACATTTGATAAAATTCAACCACCCTTCATAAAAATTCTCAACAGGCTAGGCATAGAAGGAAAACATGTCCACATAATAAAGGCTATATATGACTAATGTAATGTTATCATAATACTGAACAGGGAAATGTTGAAAGCCTTTCTTCTAAGAGCTGGAACACAACAAAGCTGCCCAATTTTACCAGATCTGTTCAACATAGTACTGAAAGTCCTAGCCAGAACAATAGGCAAGACAAATACATAAAAAGCATACAAATTGGAAAAGAGGAAGTAAAATTGTCCCCCTTTGCAGATGATGTAATCTTCTATCTAGAGAAACCTAGAGACTCCACCTAAAGACTCTAAGATCTGAAAGCTAAATTCAGTAAAGTTGTAGGATACAAAATCAACATACAAAATGCAGTAGCATTTTCTATACACCAATAATGAACTAAGAAAGAAACCAAGAAGGCAATCTCATTTACAGTAGCTACAAATAAAGTAAAATACTAGGAATAAATTTCACTAAAGTGAAAGACCACTAAAAAGAAAACTACAAAACACTGATGAAAGAAATTGAAGAGGACACAAACAAATGGAAAGATATTCTATGCTTATGGATCAGAATACTGTTACAATTATCATATTGCTCAAAGCAATCTACAGATTCAATTTAATCGTTATCAAAATATTAATGTCATTTTTCACAGAAATAGAAAAAACTATCCTAAAATTCATATGGAACCAACAAAGACCCCAAATACCCAAAGCAATCCTAAGCAAAAAGAACAAAACTGGAGGCATCATACTGCCTTACTTCAAAATATATTAGAAAGCTATAGTAATCAAAACACCAGGGTACCAGCACAAAAACAGACACATGGACCAATGCAACAGAATAGAGAATCCAGAAATAAATCCACATATTTACAGACAATTGATTTTGACAAAGGTCTCAAGAACATACATTGGAGAAAGGATATTCTTGTCCAGAAATGATGCTGCGAAAATTGGATATTTGTAGGCAGAGGAAAGAAACTGGACCCCTATCTCTTTCCACATACAAAAATCAGCCCAAAATAGGTTAAAGACTTAAATGTAAGACCTGAAACTATATAACTACCAGAAGGAAGCTTAGGGAAAACACTTTAAGAATTAGTCTAGGCAAAGGTTTCATGTATATGACTTCAAAAGAACAGGCAACAATAAAAAAATAGACAAATGATACTAAATTAAACTAAAACCTTCCTGCACAGCAAAGAAAACAATGAACACAGTGAAGAGACAACCTGTTGAATAGAGACAAATATTTGTAAACTATTTATCTGAGAAGCCACTAGTGTCTAGAATATACAAGGAACTCAACTCAACAGGAAAACCAACAAATAATCCCAGTAGACAATTCTCAAAAGATGACATACAAACAGCCAACAAGTATATGAAAAAATGCTTAAACTAATGATCAGAGAACTTAAAATCAAAACCACAATGTGACATCATCTCAGCCCAGCTAGGATGGCTATTATCAAAAAAACAAAAAATAACAGATGCTGGTGAGGATGTGAAAAAAAGCGGGGAACTCTTAAACACTTTGGTGGGAATGTAAATTACTATCATTATGGAAAATGGTGTGGAGATTTCTCAAAAAACTAAAAATAGAACTACCACATGATCCAGCAATCCCACTAGTGGGTATTTATCCAAAGGGAAAAAAGTCAATATATCAAAAAGATACCTGTACCCCCACATTTGTTGCAGCACTATTCATAATAGCAAAGATATAGAATCTAATGTAATGATGATCACAATTTAGCCTTGGTACTTATACAGTGTGTATTTGGTCTTAAATTCAGTGTACTGAAATTAAGCATTCATGCTGGATCTTTTCAAGCTGTGTTTTGGAAGAGTCAGTGAGATATGTATGAATAAATGGATGCTGCAGTGGTTATGCTTTTTTAGTTAACAAGTTGGATTTTATTTAATAAGAGCAGTTATGTGATTATTATTGTTGTTGTCACTGCAAGTATAGGAAGTAAAGTTGGCATTTATTAATATTTAAATATATGTATATATTGCTTTATGTCATTGCATCAAATACATAATTGATTGTAGGAAGCCCCATTTTCCTATATACCACTAAGAAAAATGCTTCCAATTAAACTATGACAGAATGCTTTATCACTTACAGTGATTATACTTGTTAGAAGAGTTATTTTAGACTTCTTTAGATAGATTTTTATTGTATATTACTTTTGTGTATACGTAAAATGAATATAGTAGCAAAATAAATGAGTAAAGGCATTTCCAAAGTTCTTTGCATTTAAAGCCTGCTCTTCTAAATCAAAGTTTGATTGAGCATCACCAGTGTCTATGACTTTCCACACACAACTCTCCTTTGCAAAATCAATGTCGGTGTCATGCACTTTCCTTAAAAGAATACTCCCCCACGGTCTGGAGAATTTTCTTCCATGACCCGGTTCCTCATACCATAAATATTCGTGTTGACTTTCTGAATCTCACACTAAAGTTCCAAAGGAGAGTTTTCAGACTAATTTCATGCAGGTAATTACAACTGTTTCATTACTGCAACCTAGCAGACAGCAATTTGTAAGTTGTTTTCCATCATTAGAAGAATCCTGACTTCAAAGAGCTTAAAATGTAAAAAAAAAAAAAAAAAAAAAAGTGCATCTGAGAGTGCATGAAATATGAAAAATATATTTTCTTATTTGGTACAATTATATTTAAGAAGTACATCAAAATTGGCCCCAAAGTGATTTTTTATAGCTACCTAATGCCTAAAAATAAACAGATATAATGGAAATATTGAATGTTATTTTGTAAAAATAATCCTCTGCTTGAAGGAGTTCCAAGTTTTTCAGTTCATGAAAAAGTTTCATGTTTCAATTGAGACATATTTCAAATGTCAAATAATAATGGTACACCCACATGACTGCAAGCATTACAAATAAAAGAACAAATTTGCTCACCATATATGTTGCCAGTAACTATTTGTCCCAGAAGTAAAAAGTTAGGTATGCCCACATACTGTAAAAAGCACATTTATTTCCAAATGTTTATATTGGATTTTAATTTCAATCAATGTTATGTTCATTCTTGAAAAATATTTTAACACAAAATAAGCAGCACATCTACAAGCACTTCCCAATAATGGAAATAGTTTAATTGTGATTACGTTTTTACCCAAGAATTAGCATTTTTAAACTTCTATTTACTACATTTAATAGACAATCTTCTGATCAAGCTATTTTTTTTTTTTTTTTTTTTTTTTGAGACGAAGTCTCACTTGGCCGCCCAGGCTGGAGTGCAGTGGCGTGATCTCGGCTCACTGCAAGCTCCGCCTCCCGGGTTCAGGCCATTCTCCTGTCTCAGTGTCCCAAGTAGCTGGGACCACAGACACCCGCTACCATGCCCGGCTAATTTTTTTGTATTCTTAGTAGAGACGGGGTTTCACCGTGTTAGCCAGGATGGTCTCAATCTCCCCATCTTGTGATCCACCTACCTCAGCCTCCCAAAGTACTGGGATTACAGGCGTGAGCCACTGCACCCAGCCAGATCAAGCGATTTCTAAAACTATACTCTTAGGTCACTCAAGCATACCTCTAAATGCTAATACATAGAATTTATTTAGTATTTATTTTTGTACACCTCCTTGACATATATTATAAATATCAGGGTTGACAATGCCCACATTCTGTATTTGTAAATAAAGTTTTATTGGAATACAACCACACACATTCATTTACATATGGCTGCTTTTCTATTTCAAGACCAGACTTGAATAGGTGCAGTAGAGACTATATGCCTGGCAAAACCAAAAATATTACCCGACCATTTATAGAAAAAAATTGACAACCCCTGCTCTGGAGCAAGGTGACAGTTTTATGCACCCCTTTCTCTGCTGAACACTATGGCTAACCTGGCCTTCAAGCCAATTTGTTTTACACTTCAATAATGAGAAAAATTAGATTGTATTTAATAGTACTGCAGGTACTACTTTCCCATCGAGTAAACTTAGAAAAAAAAGTTTTAAATGTTTCTTTAGAGTACAAGGGAAGCATAACCTCAGTCGAATTATACAATTTTTCTTGTGCTCATATATCAAATCAAGGACTACAAACACCATTTCCTTTTCAGCTGACTACCTCCTGCCTTCCAATATTACAAGTAAAATCTACTTGGTATATTCAGTCATACCATATTTTCAGAGAAGAATCCCAACACATTTCTAAATATCAAATACTATTTTTGAGGGGATAACCTAAGGAACAGTGAGAAATTTCTAATGATTCTTATTTTTGTTTGCTCTGTCCTCCTTTCCTTGTTCTGGATACATGTCCCGAGCCCTTGGCATCAAAGTCAGGGATGGGTTTGCAACCTAGGCTGGGCCAGTTATGTCTCATCTCAGTGTCCAAAGTGGCAGATTCAAGAGAAGGGACATATCTTCAAGCCAGGCAAATCATAGTACTGTCCTGGGTCATCTGGAATTTGAGAAGAGTTTCAAATTTTCAAATCTTTGATCTCAGAGCTGTAATTGAGGCTAAATATTTCATTAGCCACATTTCTAGCTATGGTTCCAGATGGCCCCAGGAGGTCGAGCCAAAGCAGCAGCAGTGATGAGAAGGGAAGGAAAAAGTTCTGATGAGGACCTAGATCGCTGATTTGAGATATTCCTAAAGACAGCTCTACTCCTGCCCTTCCTGGTTTAGATAGAAAAGCCAAAACCATTGTTCTTTTCCTTCAACTAGCTTAAGCTATGTCACTTGCAACCAAGCCCCCTGACTAATAGGACCAGATAATCTTCAGTGCAGGCAGCAGGCAGCATCAACTTCATGAATGTGATACCTTTACTTCTTAAAGGCAGTAATGGCAACAAAATCTAAGAGTGTATTACAGTTTTCTTGTAGAAAGTTTCCCTCCCTTTTACTTCTAGTGGTTTCAGAAACAAAAACAGTTTGCAAAAAAGAAAAAGCATTAGCTCACCATTCTTAGCCCAAGCAGTAATTTAATCTGCCATGTGCTCTTCAAAGCAGATTAACTCTAATCACACAGACTTCCTCTCCATTTAATTATTCTATCTTTCTGTTTGTACTTCACTTCTCATAAAACTTTTATATCTGAAAATTTTAAAATTTATGTAAGATCGACTGTAAGCATTTAGCTCATGTATCAAATTCATTACATCCTGTTAGATATAAGACTAGAAACCTTCTTCAGTGTTGAGTAAGGCAGAACTGTAAAGTGAGGCAAAAGGTAATATAAATAAGAACCAAACTTTTTTAAACTTGGCTGATCCTCTCCTGCTGTGTGCAGCTAATGTTTTGCCTCTGAGAATAGGACTTACTAGCAACCCTGAAGTAAAGACAGGATATTTTTCAACAAGAACTTCTGCTTTGCCAAACATCCCAGTTTGTCTCCAAGGTCTTGAAAAGAAAGAATGAAGAACGGAAACCATAAAGTATGCAGTACAGCTATCATCTAATTACTGAATGAATGGTACAGTTGTTTTGTCTGATTGCGCTGAGCTAGTTATCCACTGCTAGCTTCATTGACAAAAAGGGAACCTACACAAATTATAGGGAAATTCAAGCACTTAAGGAATGTTTTGGTTCAGAGGTTTGCAATGACTATTGGCTTTGGTTTTTGGCAAAAGCTGTCTTTGCCGTATGAACTCAGCTGTGCTGGGTCAGCCTAAAGTGTTCCCAAAAGCCTAGAAGAGGACAGACTTCCGTGTCATCTGTATCCCATCAATAAATTAAAGTGATGTTCTCCAGCTCATGTTTGTTTCTTGGCAGGCTAATCTACAATCAGAAGAAGAAAAGCCTTTCATTTGTGGACTCCAGCTAGAGGAAGGAAGCTTTTGTATGTGGATTCACTGGAGACCAAAATATTAAAAAGTGGAAGAGGAAAACCATATGTTGCAGTTCTCATAAGCAGGCAGCTCAAAGTTCTGGTTAAAGAAATGCTTGAGTTCATTTTACAGAAAAGTAAATATTTTATCATGAGAACAGGGTATACTAATAATATTGATACCTCTGTTACAAACATTGACATTTTAAGTTGTATTCTGTTTTCTCTAATTTTTTAAATCAGGAAAACCTAAGAATTAGATATTTCAAAGAAACACAAAATGACCAAACATTTTAGCATAATTCTTCAAAATGTAACTTAAGAAGGAAAGAAGAGATCCAACAGAATAAAGATAGAAGATAATTTTTATAAGCTTATGATTCCTTCTCTTCTATGAGTCACAGCAAAGTTAGCTGATATTTTATAGTTGCAGCAATTGAATGCAGGTTATAATAGAAGTGGGGAAAATCACTAATAATTATCTGCATCCTATTTCATAGTCAATTCAATAACGTAATGTTAAGATAGTCTCCTTATCTCTTTTGGTTGACAAAGGGTTATCCTTGCCTTCGTATTACTTGTGAATAAGCCTAGTGATGAGAACAAGATTAGTGTGGTCCTCTTCCAACTTCCTATAGGAGAGAATGCAAGAAGATCTTCCCATTCTTTTTAACCTGACCACATTTGTGTTTGATTTCCTTTCTATGTCTTTGAAGCAGCCAAACAAATAAAGCCTGCTTTAATACATGTATCCTTTAAAGAATATGGCTTCCAGCTCAAAGTTTCAGTATGTGAAACCAAAAGTATCTAAGACAGGTCTCAATCAATTTAGAAAGTTTATTTTGCCAAGGTTAAGGTGACAACCATGACACAATCTCAGGAGATCCTGATGACATGTGCCCAAGGTGGATGGGTCACAACTTGGTTTTATACATTTTAGGGAGACATGAGACATCAGTCAAATACATTTAAGATGTACATTGGTTCGGTCCAGAAAGTCAGAACAATTCAAAGCAGGTGCTTCCAGGTTATAGGTAGATTTAAAAATTTTCTGATTGGCAATTTGGTTGAAAGAGTTGCCATCAATATAAAGAAATGTCTGGGATATGACAAGAGGTTGTGGAGACCAAAGTTTTATCAGGCAAATGAAGCCTCCAGGTAGCAGGCTTCAGAGAGAATAGATTATACATGTTTCTTTTCAGACTTAAGGTCTGTCTTGATATTAAATGATGGTCAGCTTTCCTTAAATTCCAAAGGAGAGGAGAGCATAATGAGGCATGTCTAACCCCTACTTTCTGTCATGGCCTGAACTAGTCTTTCAGGTTAACTTTGGAGTGCCCTGGCCAAGACAATGGAGTCCATTCACATGGTTGGGAGGCCTTAGAATTTTATTTTTCATTTGCAAGTACTTTGTAACCTTATGTACCAGTAGTTCATCTCATTACAGAATAGAATTGATTTTTTCCTTTTATGGTGGGGTCACATAAAACAAGCATTAGATCAAGTGTATGACTGGTAGGAGCACGTGATGAAATAGTTGATAGAGTAGGTACTGATGGGGTTCAGAACATGCCATCCCAAATATGATGGTAGGAGGCCAGAGTATACACCCCTAAAATACGCCTATTTGGATGAGTTCTTGTCCTTTGCAGGGACAAGGATGAAGCTGGAAATCATTCTCAGCAAACTAACACAGGAACAGAAAACCAAACACCACGTGTTCTCACTCATAAGTGGGAGCTGAACGATGAGAATGCATAGACACAGGGAGGAGAACATCACACACTGGGGCCTGTCGGGGTGGGGGTAGGGGGTAAGGGGAGGGATAGCATTAGGAGAAATACCTAATGTAGATGACAGGTTGATGGGTGCAGCAAACCACCATGGCATGTGTATACCTATGTAACAAACCTGCATGTTCTGCACATGTATCTCATAACTTAAAGTATATAAAAATAAAAAATATATGCCTCTTTGGCATATTGATTACTTTAAGCTGGTTATTCTCACAAACTGCAGATACAGAAGCTCAGGAAAGTTACCCTTTTGTAAGAGAAATCTGTATCTATAAGGGAAATCTTCATTTGTAAGTGTGTCTCCTCTGCACCAGAAAGAAAAGGATGACTAAATCCCTACAGACTCTTAATCAAATAGAGAAACCTTACATTTGTTTAAGGTGCTTTTCTTGGCCATCTCATCTGAATTGGGCTTTTTTCTTCACCCTTCCATAATGTGTCTCCATTATTTCCCAGGATACCCCAAACCTCTATTCCTCTCTGTAGCTCAGATTGATATATAAGCCTCAATCATCTAGCTTGAGTCTCATATGCATACTCTCATGCATATGTACGTAATTAAAATTGTTTTTCTCTTGTTAATCTGCCTTATGTCAATTTAATTTACAGACAAGCTAATGAACCTGGAAGAGAAGGAAGAGATTGTTTTTTTTTTTTCAAGAATACATTGGACAGAAATGTAAATATGGCTTTGATTATTCATGAGATAACTGAATGTGCACTTACCTTTAATGGAAAGAGGATTAACCCCACAAGTCAGGATTTTCTTTCGTGTCCTAGCCTTACTGAATGGTGAACAGGACAGTCTATGGAGCCAGACTCCTGTGACTTGAGATAGTTACTTAACTTCTCTGAGCCTCAGCTTCCTTATCTTAAAATGGGAATAAAAATAATGCTAACCTGACAGGGTTGAATTATACCTGGCACCTAATAATCACTATGTAATTGGGAAATAAGTTACCCTTCTACTGACAACATAGATCAGATATTAATTTTTCTACGCTCAGTTTTTCTGTTTGTAAATAGAGATAACTAGTGCTTTTTTTCCTCCATAGGAATGTTTTCAACTTTTCCTCTATTGTCTGAAAGTTTGACGATAGGAATTTCTGAAGTAAACTTGACAGTAGACAGATTAAATAGAAGAAAACACATACAAACTTATGTGTGTATGCATGGGAGTACCACAAAATATGAGACTCAAAGAAAGTTCAAATGGTTCAACTTTAAATAGCATTTTGAGCCACCAAAAGAAAAAAAAAAATAGTGACTTCTGTTGGAGAAGTGGTGACACAAGCTGTGGAAGGTGAGGGAAGGAAATGCATGATGAACAAAGGTTATCTTATTATGCAGATAAAGTCTCTTAGGTCACTATGCCCAGACAGGTTTCTCACCAGTTCTGAGCAGCCCTCAGAAGAATTGGTGAAAAGTCTGTCAGGGCATAGTGGCCTGTGTGCGGAGTCCTTTTAGTCTCCTCTCCTGCGATACAAGTTAATTTTTCTGGTTATTGTAGATTCCAGAAACAGGGTTTGTAACAATTGCATTCCTTTTAGAGGAATTTCCTTCTGTCAGATAAGAAAACTTCAGAGAAAGTCCCTTTCTGAACTTTGGAATTGAAAGAAAATGGGGGCAAGCAAAAGTTAGGGAGATCTTGGTTCCAAGGCCTTTCAATTGCCATTAATTCAAAGTACCCAGTATAACGAAGTGCCATATTGTGGGATACTGTTTTCTGAGCCCCAACATCCCCAATGAGTAAACTATCTTATTTTTTGCCCCATCCTGTTTCCAGATACAGGTGTATGAAAATACAAATAATTTTTTTGTCTACCTTTCATAGTTCTTAAGTGGGACTCTCTGTAACAAAAAACAGGTTAACATGAAAAAAGCAAATAGAAGTTTAATAACATGTACACTTCCTGAATATCTGATAATATGTACATCTCCCTGGAAAATATACATGAAAGATAACGCAGAGAAATCAGTAAATCCTTAGAGTTGATTTCAAAGGTATAGTTTAAGTACTGTTCTGTGAAACAAAGCAAAAAGGCTGTGGGAAAACGCCTAGTCAAAACAGAATGGGCAGGTAAATCACCTTAAACAAAAGAAAAATTTGCACGGCAGATTTAAGTCAGTACCTTCACCGTTGATTTGGAGTCTCTAGAGATTTAGTCAACCTCTTCCCAGTGTGGGGACAGAGTGACAACCTTACAAATGAAGATTCCCTTCGTAGATGTAAATTTGTTTTATGAAAAGTTTGAGTCTTATTTTAGTGTGGCATATTTTGATGTCTAACACGGAAATATGCTACTGTAAAACTAGACTTCTGGTACTGTTACAGGTAGTTTAGAGGCATAAGTGGGGCAGGGGAGGGCTCTCCCCCACCCACCAAGAATGTTGGGTGATGGTTTGGCAATTGTCACGTTGCCTTTCTAAAAGTGATAAATTGGTAGCCGGTGCCAGGGAGAGGCCATTTCCTGATGGTCCACACTTGTGGCACTAAAGTGTTAATTGAACATAGATACCAGGGAGAAGCAACTTCCCAGGCATATACATTAAGAGTCAAAATGGCGGAATATAACCTTCTGGGGGCACTCTACCTTAAAAGGGAAGAAAGTCTCAGATGCACATGCATACAACTTCCCAAACACACTGTACATGCTCACTTTCCAAGGGTAAGGAGGGCACCCAGCATGTGGGCAGCCCACCCTAAGGGAAGAATCATGGGAAAGGGATGCAAGATGCCGGAAGTGGGACAATCTAGAAAGTCCGAGGATCAAGGTTAAACATTGCACTTGTCAAAGCCAGGCGCGGTGGCTCACGCCTGTAATCCCAACACTTTGGGAGGCCGAGGTGGGTGGATCACGAAGTCAGGAGATCGAGACCATCCTGGCTAACACAGTGAAACCCCGTCTCTATTAAAAATACAAAAAAATTAGCTGGACGTGGTGGTGAGCGCCTGTAGTCCCAGCTAGTCGGGAGGCTGAGGCAGGAGAATGGCGTGAACCCGGGAGGCGGAGCTTGCAGTGAGCCGAGATCGCGCCACTGTACTCCAGCCTGGGCGACAGAGCGAGACTCCGTCTCAAAAAAAACATTGCGCTTGTCCTTCAAGTCGCCAGCTTGGGTGTCTTCCAAGTGTACTTTCCTTTCCTTTCTTGTTTTACAGCCTTTTAAAGTAAACTTCCACTCATGCTCTGAAACTTGCCTCGGTCTCTTTTTCTGCCTTTATGCCCCGCGTGAAATTCTTTCTTCTGAGGAGTCAAGAATTGAGGTTGCTGCAGACATGTATAGATTTGCTGCTGGTAACTCAGATACCTTACACCAATAACAGTACAAAACAACCTTGCTTTCCATTGTGCCGACAATGAACAACAGTAGTCAATGTAGAATTTAGAGTGGCTGTAGGCTGGGCACAGTGGCTTATGCCTGTAATCCCAGCACTTCAGGTGGCTGAGATGGGAGGATTGTGTGAAGCCACACATTCAAGACCATCCTGGAAAACAGAGACCCTGTCTCTACAAGAAAAAAATAATAATAATTAATTAGCCAGGAATGGTGGCACATGCCTGTAGTTCCAGCTACCCGGGAGGCTGAAACAGGAGGAACACTTGAGCCTAGGACATCAAGGCTGTGACGACCAATGATCACACTATTACACTCCAGTCTGAGCAACAGAGCAAGGCTCTGTCACAAAAAAATAAAAAATAAAGTGATTGTAAAAAATTCCATCAGAAACCACTCAGACTGGGAACAATTGAGTACTACTTTCCACTGAAGAGGGGTTTGTACCTGATAAGAGAACAAATTCACTGGAGGACCAAGAAGCTTTCTCTCTACATACCCAAAAGATACATTGTTAGCTCTTCTCTGTGGCAAGTCAAACAGTAAGAGGTAAGTTTTTCAGACAGTCACTTGTAAAGACTAACAAATGATCAACTGTGAGGAGTTTGACTTGTGACTTTAAGCAAACTACTTCTTGTGGATAGAAAATACTTTCTAAATAAATCATTAGTTCAGTTTTTAAAATTACTTTTATCACAATCCTCTGCAATTAGTCATCTGGAAAGCCATAAAGTTTAGTTTTCTTAAGAAATCTCTCATAAATGAGAAATAGACACATTTAATTTCCCATCTAAACACATCTTTTTCTTGAACTTCAAGTTTGAAAGAGTTCTTAAAACATCTTCCAGGACAGGCATGGTGGCTCATGTCTGTAATTCCCAACACTTTGGGAGGCCAAGGCAGGAGGACTGCTTGAGGCCAGGAGTTCAAGACCAGCCTGGGCAACATAGCAAGATCCTGTCTCTAAATAACAATAATTCAATTCAACCCATTTGGAGCTTAAAATACAAATAATGAGTGCTCAGTATATGGTCCTCCTCTAAGATTGGTGAACTGCTCCATTTCTGCACAGCTCTGATTACTATAAAAAAATCTTTCACAGGATTAATGGTTAAAATGTTGGCAAAAAACAAGGCATGGAGATCTACCTTACATTCTACACAAAAATGTTTTTTGTACAGTGCCTTTATAAATCCAATAATCATAAAGAACTAGAAAAGGGCCAGGCACAGTGACTCACAACTGTAATCCCAGTACTTTGGGAAGCGAAGGTGGGAGGATGACTTGAGCCCAGGAGTTTGAAACCAGCCTGGGCAATATAGTGAGACCTCGTCTCTACTAAAAATAAACTAGCCAGGGATGGTGGCACACACCTGTTGTCCTAGCTACTCGGGAGACTGAGGCAGGAGGATCACTTGAGCCAGGGAGGGTGAAGCTGCAGTGAGCCATGATTGTGCCACTGCATTCCAGTCTGGTCAACAAAGTGAGACCCTCTCTCAGAGGAAAAAAAAAAAAAAACCTAGAAAAGAATATTTTTCAGGTCTTTGGAGAAGTAATGACTTTTAAAGGTTTAAAGGTAGTAGAAACAACAAAAGGAAATAATTAACAAATTTAACTCCACAAAACCTTAAACTTTTTAAGGAACAACAACCAAATAATTTAAATGGTAAGGCAGGCAGCTCAATGAACAAAAATACAGATGATCAATTAACAAAAATACAATGCATAAACAAAATATTAGAGGTTTTGGCCTCACCGGTAACAAAAAATATGCAATTTTTTAAAACAATAACATCTTATGATGAATAATCATTATTGACTTTTAGATTATATAACATCTGCCTAATAAAAACTAATAATTGTTGCCTTTAAAATTAGATCATGTAACACTAACAAAATATACACAGTGTTGATGTCAGCATATATTAAAGAAAACTTTTGGAAAACAATTTGCCAGTACACAGTTAAAAAGAATTATAGTCATTGTTCTACAAGTAATCTCTCTTTATGGTAATTTTATTCTATGTAAAAATCCAATAGAAAGGGCCTATCTATATTTGTATTGTAGGAGAGAAAAGTAATATTTTTCTGACCTGTCACAATGTTCATGGCAGAGATTCCTATAACAAAAGACAGATTAACAAGAGAAAAGTTAAAAAATTAATTAGCAGGTGAAATACTCCACACACCTCCCAATCTGAGGTGGAGGGTATGAAGTATTTCGCCTGCTAATCTAAATCTAAAACAAAAAAGGGACAATAAAAAATAAATTTTCCAGTGGCAAGATCAGAGCTCACTATAGCCTCAACCTCCAGGGCTCAAGCAATCCTCTGACCTCAGCCTCCTGAGTACCTAGAACTACAGGTACATGCCGCTATGCCCAACTGATTTTTTTTAAACTTTTTATAGAGGTAAGGTCTATGTTGCCCAGGCTGGTCTCAAACTTCTGGGCTCAAGCAATCCTCTTGCCTCCCACTTCAGCTTCCCACAGTGTTGGGATTCCAAGCATGAGCCATTGTGCTGGCCAAGGAAAAAAAACTTTCAGTCTCTACAGGGAGCTACAGAGATCTGAGAGAGCTGTCCTCGGTAAGAGTTCTTACCCTTCTGCCAGCACTTTGTCAGTTTTCCCAGGATCTCATTTGCAGACTCCAGAGCCAGTAGGATGTCTCTGCCACTCTATGTGCCAGAAAATGTAGAAGAGAAAAAGTAATATATTTTCCTCACCTATCACAAGGTTCAGGGCTGAAACCCCTATAACAACAGACAGACTGAGAAGAGAAAAGCATACTAATTTAATATGTTGTACGTGACATGCCAGTCTGCAGAAGTGAAGACCCAAAGAAATGGGAAATTGCATAATTTTATGAACAGTAGTGCAGAAGTATGACTGGAGAACAAAAGGGCAGTAGTATCCAATGGTGAATGGGAGGAACTTAGCAAGGCCTGTTTGTTCAGATTCTTGTTGGCATTCCTGTGTAACAGTTCCTTTTCTCCAGGTCTAGGGCAGGACACTTGTCACATGAAGGTCTTCAAGGGGAGAAAGGGAAGAGGTGGTCAGAGAGTGACCTTCCTAAGTTTTATGGCCTGCTTCCAGAACAAAGAGTGGGAGATGGTCAAAGTGACCTTCCTGCTTCTGTGTTTTTGTTTTTCCAAAAGCCAAGGTGCCATATTTTGGGACAGCATGTCTTAAGCACTGTCAGTATAATCATAAAAGCATTATTTAAAGTGGCAAAAATGTTAAAATTTAGCATTCAAATCTCCCCTCAAAAACAAACTTAAAAGCCATTTTAAAAAGTATGCAGACCATATAGCAACATTTTTTTAAATGCTTATGTTACTAATTGAGAAAAAAAATCAATCTAAGATTGCAACCATCTAAAATATATATATAAATCTATAGAATATGACTAGAAAGAAATGAATAAAACATTCCAATAACTGCATTAAAGTGATGGAAGTATTGGTGATTGTTTTCTTTTTCTTTTTAGTGTTTTTCAACATTATTACATTATGTTTTATAATACTGAGTAGAAACCTCCTACTCAGTATTCCCCTAGCTGATAGTAGCCAAGTTCTCTAACTCATGGAGATGGACTAGAAGCGTGGGAAGATGTGGAGATGAGAGACCAAGAACAGCC
The DNA here is from genome assembly GCF_000001405.40 of Homo sapiens. Classification (NCBI taxonomy): domain Eukaryota; kingdom Metazoa; phylum Chordata; class Mammalia; order Primates; family Hominidae; genus Homo; species Homo sapiens. Next base: position 80,427,811 of record NC_000013.11, on the reverse strand, counting down.
AACCCTCAGCCCTTTTTCTTGAATTCCTGTTTTATCTTCGATGCAATTCAATAGCACTTTCTTATATATTGTCTTCTTTTGGAAATTGAAGCTTTTTTCCTATTTTATAAATAGCTCCTAGATTCTAATATTATCTCACTAACCTGCAAGGTGGAATTATGGTATTACAGAGAATAATGAATTATGGAACTTGGGATCATAATATATACAAATAAGAAACCATGAAAAAAAGAAACACAGTTTCCTTTTTATTGAAGTTCAGGATTGTAAAAACTGACATAAATTACTGAAACTTAAGTTAGTCTTCGTCACCTTTTCAATAATTTTTAGCACTCTTTCCTAACATTTTAGAGCCACTGTCTTCAGAAACTCAGTGTTTACAGGTCTCTTAAGTTTCTCTACCCAAATAGAGACAACCCACTCAGGTCTGCCCTGTGATTCATTTTTTTTCCTTTTTCACTAATCAAAATTTCTAATTTTTCAAGTATAAGGTGTTTCTGGAAAAACAATCAGGTCCAATGTGCAAACAAATTTCTTTCTATAATCAAAATGTTTTCCTCCTGCTGAAATCTTGATATCAATTAATAGTACCATCCAATTATTGAAGCCAGACATTCAAGGGCTATCTTTACACTTCCGTCCCCTCATCACTCTTATTCAGTTTTTCAAGATCTCCAAAAATTAACGTAGATTTTCATCTACATCTGGACTATGACTCAAATATCAGCAAAACAGTATAAAAGAGAAGTCTGCAGAAAAAGTAATTTAGGACTAAAATGACACTATTAAATAATTTTTTAAAAATTTAGGACTAAAATGACACTATTAAATAACTTTTAAAGATTAGAAAGAAAAACACAATAGGAATCCTAAAAATATTATTCCTAACATTAAAGAACATCCTGGAAAAAGTCATGGACACGTGATAAAACAAATGGATCAACGCAATTAGAGAAAATACTGATAAAACACATTCAAACATAAAGCTAAATGGAATTTCTAAAATAGAAAACCCAATTTTTAATTCTCTGAGATAAATCTGTTTAATCATTCCCATCTGAAAAAAAAGAAATAAAGTCAATGATAAAAAAAATCAAAATATCACCATTATTACATTATTATTAATGAAGGCAGAGGATATAGCTTAGTTGTGCAGCTAAATAGATGTGCTATCTGAATCAGTATTTGACAGGCTTACCTTGCCCACTAGGCAATGCTAAATCAGAGTAGACCATTTCACCTGAGAAGTATTAATAGAAGGATGGAGTATCTAAATCATGGACATGGAGAAGCACAGGTGAATGTTCATTACCTGAGGCTGCTCATTCCCATGACAAAGAAAGGTAGAGCTGACCTAAGTAAGCATCCCCAGTTCATTTTGCATAATTTATTAATGATAAATCACTCTACTTTCTCTGGATAGAATGAATAAAGAGGTGGACAGAGGCCATGAATTACATGAATTGAACCTGCATTATAAAAAAGAGGGCCAGTGCTCACTCTCAGTGAAAGATCTCTCAAAATGTCTGTGCAGTGGGATGTTAGAATTGCTCTACTGTGCATTTCCCAATTGTTCCTTTTCCAAGTGGGAAAGTTTACTGTAATTATCCAATACCATCATTGTATATTTGATGTGCAAAAGAGAGAAAACTTACCACTTCAGCCCTAAAGTCTCTAGACCAAAAAGCACCGCATCTAGACCAGCTGTAGAGACTACAGCATATCACAATACCAGCTGTAGAGACTACAGCATATCACCAGGTATCCCAGGCTTTGCATTTGGTGTCATTGCTCTATGAGACTTTTTGGTTGTTTCTCTTGGGGTGGGAGTAAGTATATTTTGCACATAAAAAGAAAACTAAAAGAAATATTTTATTGCACAGAACAACTGTGGAAGATATTAAGATATGTTCTGTTTCCCTCTCCTTCCAGGCAAACAAAAGGATTCTACTTCCCTTTCTCTAACTTTTTTAGGCCATAAAAATGTGAATAAAAGTGCCATATGTTTTTTCCATGTTGTGGCTTTAAGAGCTAGTATGTAATTCACAGGCCCTATTTATTTATTTATTGACTTAGTGATTATGGAAGTGAGTGTTGAGGTGCAGCATCTCTCACCCTACGTCCCTAAAAGACTGTTGTGAGCCATACAGGACATAAGATAAGTGAAAAAAGTAAAGTTGTTGATATCATTTGGATGTTTGTCCTTTACAAATCTCACATTGAAATGTGATTCCCAGTGTTGAGGTGGGGCCTGGTGAGAGGTTAGTGGATCATGGGAGCAGATCCCTCATGAATAACGTAGCACCATCCCCATGGTGATAAGTGAACTCTCACTCAGTTCATGCAAAATCTGGTTGTTTAAAAGCCTAGGACCTCCTTCCTCCCTCTCTGTTGTTCCCACTCTCTCCAAGTGATGTGTTGTCTCTCCGTTCACCTCTGCCATGATTGTAAGTGATATAGTTTGGATCTGAATTCCCACCAAATCTCATGTGAAATTGTAATCCCCAGTGATGGAGGTGGGGCCTGGTGGGAGGTGATTGAATCATGGAGGTGGTTTCTCATGAATGGTTTAGCACCATCTCTCTAGCGCTTTTCTCATGGTATGTGGTTGTTTAAAAGTGTGTACCACCTCCTGTCTCTTCCTCCTGCTCTGGCCATGTAAGATGTGACTGCTTCCCCTTCACCTTCCATCATGATTGTAAGTTTCCAGAAACCTCCCCTAAAAGCAGAAGCTGCTATGCTTTCCTGTACAGCCTGCAGAACTGTGAGCCAATTGAAGCTCTTTTATAAATTTCCCTGTCTTAAGTATTTATAGCAGTACAAGAATAATCTAACTTAAAAAAAAATGGTACCAAGGAGTGGGGCATTGCTATAAAGATACCTGAAAATATGGAAGCAGCTTCAGAACTGGGTAACAGGCAGAGGCTGGAAGAGTGTGGAGAGCTCAGAAGAAGACAGGTAGATGAAGGAAAATTTGGAAGTTCCTAGGGACTTGCTGAATGCTTGTGACCAAAATGTTGACAGTGATATGGATGATGAAGTCCAGGCTAAGGAGGTCTCAGAGATGAAGATCTTACTGGGAAGTGGAGCAAATGTCACTTTTGTTATGCTTTAGCAAAGAATTTGTCTGCATTGTACTCCCACTTTAGGGATCTGTGGAACTTTGAACTTGACACTGATGATTTTAGGGTATCTGGTGGAAGAAATTTCTAAGCAGCACAGTATTCCATGCTGCTTATTGAAAAAGTGCCCTGGCTGCCTCTAACAACCTATACTCATATGCGTGAGCAAAGAAATGACCTGAAACTGGAATTTATATTTAAAAGGAAATCAGAGTGTAAAATTTTGGAAAATTTGCAGCCTGGCCATGCAATAGAAAAGAAAAACCCATTTTCTAGGGAGGAATGCAAGCCAGCAGCAGAAATTTGCGTAAGTAAAGAGAAGCCAGTTGCTAATATCCAAGACAATGGGGAAAAAAAAACCAAAGGCATTTCAGAGACCTTCGTGGCAGCCCCTACCCTCACAGGCCCAGAGACCTAGGAGGACAGAATGGTTTCCTAGGCCAGATCCAGGGCCCTGCTGCCCTTCATAGCCTCAGGACACTGGTCCCTGCATCCTAGCCACTCCAGCTCCAGCCATACCTCAAAACGGTCCAGGTACAGTTCATGCTACTATTCCAGAGGGTGCAGGCCATAAGCCTTGGAGGCTGCCACATGGTGTTAAGCCTGTGGGCACACAGAGCACAACAGTTGAGGCCTGGGAGCCTCTGCCTAGATTTCAAAAGATGTATGGAAATGCCTGAATGTTAATGCAGGGGTGGAGCCCTCATGGAGAACCTCTACTAGGGCAGTGTGAAGGGGAAATATGAGGTTGGAGCCCTCACACAGAGTCCCCACTGAGGCACTGCCTAGTGAAGTTCTGAGAAGAGGGCCACCATCCTCCAGTCATATGATATGGCTGCATCCCCACCCAAATCTCATCTCGAATTATAATCTGAATTGCAATCCACACATGTTGAGGGAGGGACCTAGTGGGATACAATTGAATCATGGGGGTGGTTTCCCCCATGCTGTTCTGGTGATATGTGAGTTCTCATGAGATCTATTGGTTTTGAAATGTGGCACTTTCCCTCTGTTCACTCTCTCTCTCTCCCTCCTGCTGCCATATAAGATGTGCCTTCATATATACCATGGAATACTATGCAGCTGTAAAAAAGAATGAGTCCATGTCCTTTGCAGGGAGATGGATGAAGCTGGAAACCATCATCCTCAGCAAACTAACACAGGAACAGAAAACCAAACACTGCATGTTCTGACTTATAAGTGGGAGTTGAAAAACGAGAACACATGGACACAGGGAGGGGAATATCACACACAGGGGCCTGTCAGAGGGTGGGGGGCAAGGGGAGGGAGAGCATTAGGACAAATACCTAATGCATGCAGGGCTTAAAACCTAGATGGGTTGGTAGGTACAGCAAACTACCATGGCACATGAATACCTATGTAACAAACCATCATGTTCTGCACATGTATCCCTGAACTTAAAGTATAATAGAGTTAAAAAAGCCTGGGTGCGGTGGCTCACATCTGTTATCCCAGCACTTTGGGAGGACGAGGTGGGCGGATCACGAGGTCAAGAGATCGAGACTATCCTGGCTAACACAGTGAAATCCCGTCTCTACCAAAAAAAAAAAAAAAAAAAAAAATTAGCTGGGCATGGTGGCAGGCACATGTGGTCCCAGCTACTCAGGAGGCTGAGGCAGGAGAATGGCATGAACCCGGGAGGCGGAGCTTGCAATGAGCCAAGATCGTGCCACTGCACTCCAGCCTGGGTGACAGAGCAAGATTCCGTCTCAAAAAAAAAAAAAAAAAAAATAGAGTTAAAAAAAAAAGAGGTGCCTTGCTTCCCCTTTGCCTTCCACCATGATTATAAGTTTCCTGTAGGCCTCCTAAGCCATGTGGAACTGTGAGTCAATTAAGCCTCTTTCCTTTATAAATTACCCAATCTCAAGTAGTTCTTTTTAGCTGAGTGAAAATGGACTAACACATTCAGACAAAAGAAGAGTGGATCTACCAGCAGCTTGCACCCTTCCCTGGAAAAGCTGCAGGCACTCAACACTAGTCCTTGAAAGCAGACGTGGGGGCTAAACCCTGGAAAGCCGCAGGGATGGAGCTTCCAAAGGCCTTAGGAGCCCACACCTTGTACCAGTATGCCCAGGATGTGGGACATAGAGTCAAAGATTATTTTGGAGCTTTAAAGTTTAATGACTGTCCTGCTGGATTTCAGATGTGCATGGGGCATGTAGCCCCCTTCTTTTGGCCAATTTCTCCCCTTTGAAACAGGAGTATTTGTACCCTCATTGTATCTTGGGAGTAACTAACTTGTTTTTGATTTTATGAGCTCATAAGTAGAAGGGACAAGCCTTACCTGGATGAGACACTGGACTTTGAAATTAGGGCTGGAATGAGAAGACTTTGGGGTACTGTTGGGAAGCCATGATTGGATTTTGCAATGTGAGAAGGACATGTGATTTGGAGGGGCCAGGGGTGGAATAATACAGTTTGGATCTGTGCTCCCACCAAATCTCATGTTGAATTGTAATCCCCAGTGTTGGACGTGGGGCCTGGTGGAAGGTGATTGAATCATGGGGGTGGTTTCTCATGAATGGTTAAGCATCCTACCCCTAGGGCTGTTCTCATGATAGCGTTCTCAGGAGATCTGCTTGTTTAAAAGTGTGTAGCATCTCCCCTCACTCTCTCTTCCTCCTGCTCTGGCCATGTAGAATGTGCCTGCTTCCCCTTTGCCTTCTGCCATGATTGTATGTTTCCTGAGGCCTCCCTAGAAGCAGAAGCCACTTCCTGTATAGACTGCAGAACTGTGAGCAAATTAAACCTCTTTTCTTTAGAAATTACCCAGTCTCAAGTATTCCTCTGTAGTAACACAAACAGACTAATACAATTGTGTTAAGAGCCACTGAGATTGGGGGTTGTTTTTTCCTGTAGAGTATCCTGATGTGTATGCTGCTTCTTATAAAGATAGAAATTTGCAGTAGACAGCCCCAGTCTCTTGATTTTATTCGAGGTACCTTTTTTCCCTCTTTAAAACACACTCAAAACCTCTTGGTCTTCATTCACCTCAGTGCTAAACTTAATATAGTTTCTATCTGGTAAGACAGCATCCACAAATTCTTGTGACCAGGCATCTTCAGCCTTATACCTCAATGGATGTTATCTCTTGCTAAACAACAGCTTAGGCATTTAAAATTAGAAGAAAAATAAAGCCAAGCTTCCTAATTAAGTTTTCGTCTTGCCTCCACATTTAACCAAAAAAAAAAAATCTTAAGAGATTCATAATATGAAGTAACTAATAATATTTCTTAAAACTTTAGTGAAGAAAGTACCCATGCAATGTTTCAGGTCCTGAGAATCAGAATCATTTCTTTATCCAATGTCTTTTTCACTCTTCTGTTCTCAGAAAGATTCAGCTGAATTTGTGTGAGTCTGTCTAGCACTAACTACATGGGTCTGAAATTAAGAATTAAAGCCAAAAATCTCACCTGCCTGACAGTTTAAGTGAACCAATTGTGGAAGTAGAGAAGTGGCCAAAAATGCTTAAGAAGCCTCTAAGGAACCCTCTTCTCTATTTCTGGAACTTTGATCCATGTAGTAGTTATTGCTGTGTAACAAACTATCCTAAAACTTAGAGGCTTAAGACAAGAACTACTTAGTACTTCCTATAAATCTACATATCAGCTGGACTTTTTTTGATCTAAACTGGACTCAGCTGCTCTCATTTGGGTTCTTCCATGGATTTTCAGTCAGCTAAAGAAATAAAGGTCAGGTAAGCTAGACTAGCATCATTAGAAAAATGTTCCTGCTTCATTTGGCCTCATATCCTCCAACAAACTACACAGACTTGTTTTCATAACAATATTAGGTTTCCAAGGAAAAAAGTAGAATCATGCAAGCACTTTCTCAAACCTCTACTTGAATCATGTTTGCTATTATCCTAGTGGCCAAAGAAATTCATGTGGACAAGCCCAGAATCAGAACACTATTAAAAGAGCTTGGATACAAGAGGCCATAGAAACTATTAGTGCAATTAATGTATCACACTTCAGCTAATGTGCTTAGGAAAAACTAAGTGTGCATTAAAAACTATTTAAGCCTGTATTCTAAGACATCCCTGAAATCTGCTCATAGGTGTGGTTCTGGCTACCGGTGTGGTTGTCTTCTTATGATAACAGTTCACAGCCTACCTGCTAGGATCTGTGTTTCTTTGTCAAAGTTCTGTTTACCTCTGTGTGCTCTGGCAAAAAAGAAGTGGGGAGAAGGGGGGAGAAGGGAGAAGAGAAGGGGGGAGAAGGGAGAAGAGAAGGGGGGAGAAGGGAGAAGAGAAAGGGGGAGAAGGGAGAAGAGAAAGGGGGAGAAGGGAGAAGAGAAGGGGGAGAAGGGAGAAGAGAAGGGGGAGAAGGGAGAAGAGAAGGGGGAGAAGGGAGAAGAGAAGGGGGGAGAAGGGAGAAGAGAAGGGGGAGAAAGGAGAAGAGAAGGGAAGAGAGAAGGGGGGAGAGAAGGGGGAGAGAAGGGGGGAGAGAAGGGGGGAGAAGTGGGGAGATGGGGGAGAAGTGGGGAGATGGGGAAGAAGTGGGGAGATGTGGGAGAAGTGGGGAGATGGGGGGAGAAATGAGGAGATGGGGGGAGAAATGAGGAGATGGGGGGAGAAGGGGAAGGGGAGAATGGGGGATGATAGGGATATGGGAGAAGGGAGGAGAAGGGAAGAGAAGGGAGGAGAAGGGAAGAGAAGGGAAGAGAAGGAAAGAGAAGGGAAGAGAAGGGAAGAGAAGGGAAGGGAGAAGGGAGAAGGGAGAAGAAGGGAGAAGAGAGAGAGAAGAAGGGAGAAGGGGAAAGTCCTCTATCTTCTACAAGCTCTTGTCAGTGGCCCTGCATACACTTGGCACCTAAGAGAGTGTCTCTACACACTCTTAATAAGGCTGCAAACAGCCAGCCCCATGGGCAGGTTTTTCTAAATCCTGAAATGTTCCTAAATCTATAGAAACTCACCCACTTGTGCATCAAGCCCATATAAGCTACAGTTACAGACAAAATCAAACGCATGTGCCCAAAGGCAGTAGCAATGGAAAGTTAGTGCAATATAAACTTCTACAACTGCCAAGGTCAAAAAAATCTACCCACACGTTAAACTCAAATGTACAAAACCACAACAAAGGCTTCTGCATATGTTACATATATCTGCAAATTCTACTGTTATATCTTGCAATGTTTCTGACCCATACACCAAATGTTTGCCTTTCAAAGAGCCTCAACAAATACCACCCTTCTTTCCTGCTAAGATTATTACAAAATGAAAAAGAAGATATCAGAATATAGTCAAGCAAAATATCACCTTTATGAAAAATGCAAACCTAGATTATCTAATTTAGTATGAAAGCCAAATGTTCTAACTGAAACAAGAATTAAGCATATTTTTCCAGGCATACGCAATATTCATGAATATTTTGCTCATTTCACTCTTCAAGATAGGAGGTGGGTGGTCTGATCTAGTAAGACGTACTGCATGGAAAGCAAAAGTTATCCTGCTTCCTAGTTCTCATTTCCTGCAGGCTTTTATTTCTCACAGGAAAAAGAGTAGAAACTAAGTCAAGCAGGTTTAATTTATTTATCTCAAATGTAAAGCTCAGATGCATCTCTGATTGCTCTCTGGAATGAACTCAGTAAAGGAGTGAAATTACATTAATTGAGCTACCTCAGTGTTAAAAAAAGTACTGGAAATTGATAATATCTGTTTCTCCCTAAAGACAACAAATGGATTAAGAAAAATATTCAAACACATAATGGAAAATATTTTCCGAATTGAAGGAAAAAGAAAATATGCACATTAAAATGGAACACCATGAATATCACTTCTGCCTATGAAGCAGCAATTTCTATGAAAAGCACAGTAAAATATTTTTTAAAAATATAAAATATAAGAAACTATTATTTTTAAATATTGGAATTCATGCAGTACAGGTGTGTGACTTTGAGAGACATCAAACAAGATGTGCCCTACAACTGCCCTGGCTTTTTGCCTGAAGCAATTTTAAGACCATAGTGTGGAGGAGTAGGATGTAAATAGAATCTAGTGACAACACTAATTAGTGGGGATGGAAGTTATGGGTGGCCATAGAGGAACTGTGGGGCAGAACATCAGAAAGGAGAGTTAAACAGAGAACAAACTGCATAAATATGTATAAGGTTTCAGTTTTTAGCTAAAACTAATCTGAACATGCATATGGTCATACTTCATGATACTAGAGAAAGAACAATTTCTGGGTAAAAAAACAATTACCAATGTGTTACAGGCAGAAAAACACCCTGAACTCACTAACAGCTTGAGTTCCCACAAGACAATGTGAAAACAACCTTATTGAACACACAAGGCATTCTGTAGAGACCTAAGAATGCTCATGCCTTAGTAGTGGGATCATCCTAGCCCTATAGTAAAGGCTGCTGCAGACTGGTTCCTCCCAAGAAAAAGCTGTAAGTTATCCTCAAAAAGATCATCCAGTCTGCCTAACAAAACTTAACACTATTTGAAATAGTACAACAAAACCCAGGACTCAAAAGTGTAAAATTCATGATGTCAAGTGACCCATCAAATTCCTAGGAGATAAAAAGCTAGAAAATATGACCCACAGAAGAAAAACAAGTAGAAACAGATTTAGAAATTGGAACAAATATACAAATAATAATAGACAAGAACTTTAATACTATTATAAATGTGTTCAATATGTTCAAGTATTTCAAAGAAAACAAAGAGTATAAGTAAACATAAAATGAAAAAGAAGCAAATGTAACTTTTAGAAAATTATGATGAAAATTGTAATTTCTTAAATGAAAATTATTCCCACAAAGATTATCACTGGATTAGACAAGAAGACTGTAACTGGAGGTATAATAATAGAATCTATCCAAAATGAAGTACAGAGGGGAAGAAAAATTAAAAATAAGTAAATTAAAACATTCTCAATGACCTGTAGAATATCAAATGAGGTAATATACATGCAATTGGAGTCCCAGAAATAAAAGAGAGGCCAAAAGAGAACAATTGAAGACAATTTCCATAAGTTCCTAAACCCACAAGTTGAAGAAGAAAAAAAAAAGCCCAGAGATTAACAACAAAGATAGGAATAGTAGGCTCAGTAGAATCATATTGCTCAAAACCATAAATAAAGAGAACTTAAAAGAAGCCCAGAGCAAAAATAACCAAACAAAACCTCCCACTACATATACAGGAACAAAGATAAGTATGACTTCTCATGAGAAAATATAGCAGCTAGAAGATAATAGAACACATTTAAAGTTATGAAAGAAAAACACATCAAATTTGAATTCTATACCCAGCAAAATGTCTTTCAAAAATGATGCAGACTTCTGGTATCAGGTCCAACATGTAAAGACCTTGGAAGTAATCACTGCCATTATTACAATAGAAAAACCTGAACAAATTAAAAATGTATAATTTTTTTAGACCCATCAAAACATTGAGGTCATAGGAAAAACTGCCACCCTAAAATCTGGAGAAACAAGTAACACCAGAGTCACAGCTAAGATCTGCTTATCTAAAGCAGAGGCCAAGAGGGCCCTAAAAGAGTTGGAACACTTAAATGTAATTCTGACAAATTGCTGGAGGCTGAGTGTGGACTGTCATGAAAGTGAGAGAATCTTGGGAGCCAAGGTGTTAGGGGAGGCCCTCATACTTTCATGGGTTTTTACCTCCAGTAATTTCACTAGGTTCTCATAGTGAAGAGCTCTCAAAGATCGTCTTGCAGCTCAGAGCAGGGGAAGAGTAACAATTGTGAGATATACTGAGAGCATTATCTTTTAAAAGGTTTACTCACCTGTGAAAAATACATTACCAAAGTCTTATTTGACCTGGGGGAAGGACATTTCTCCCTCTCCAGCCCCCTTGAACCTTCCTGTCTTACCAGATGGAGAAAAGGAGGGCCATAAAGCTAAAAAACAATAGTGAAGTTTACAGCCCAGGGAGACAGGTCTGCTAAATGACTGAGATTTAATAAAATTACAGAATGCCTCCCCAACAATCCCCCAACAGTTTGCCACAATTATCAACAGGGACCCAGTATCATAACAGTGGTCATAGCTGAAAGAGCTGCAAACACAGACTCTCTGAGGAGAAGTACTTAGGGAAGCACAAAGTCAATAGGGAAGACAAAAACAAGGACACTAGAGCAATTGAAAGCCTATGGCATGTACCTCTACAACAAACAATGAGCACAGTCTAACTCTAAGCCAAATCAACATAAAACCTCATACTAAAGACTTATTTACCTCAGTAAAATTTGCCACACTACCAGATATCCAGCTTTCAACAAGAAAATACAAGGCATGCTACAAGTCAAAGAAACATAAACAAAACCCACACAGTCTGAAGAAACAAAGCCAGCTTCAAAACCAGACTTAGACATGATACAGATGTTGAGATTAGGAAAGCAATTAAACATAACTATGGTTATACATATATACATTATAATTTGCCAATATTCAATAAAAATAAAAAAGCTCTAATAAAAATAAGAAAGGAGACAATATGCAAGAACAGATTAGTACCATAAACAGAGAGACAGAAACTCTAATAATGAATCAAGAGGAAATACAAGAAATTATTTTAAATTCTGTGCAATAAATGAGGAATGCCTTTGATGGGCTAATCAGTAGACTAAAAACCGCTGAAGAGTCAGTGAGTCTGAAAATACAGCAATAGGAACTTCCCAAACTGAAATGCAAAATACAAAAATAAAAAATACTGAATAGTTAAGAACTGTTAGCAAATTTCAAAAGGTATAACATATGCGTAATGGGAATACCAGAGAGAAAAGAAAGAAAGATAGAATAGGGAAGAAGAAATATTTGAAGAAGTAATGGCAGAGAATTTTCCAAAATGAATGACAGACTTCAAACCACAGATTCAAATAGCCAGAGAACACCAAGAATAAATTAAAACAAAAAATCCATGCACAGGCATAATTAGAGAATACCAAAACAAATAGAAAACTTTAAAGGAGCCAGTGTGAAGTGGGGGGACACACTGTCTATATGGAACAATGATAAGAATCACAAGAGCTTCTTGTTAGAAATTGTGCATGGAAGAAGAGAGTAGAGTGGAATATTTAAAATGTTTTAAAGAAAATAGCTACCAAACTAGAATTCTATTTCTAGTCATATAATATTGCTTGAAATTTGATTATGATAAGCCAGATTTTTATATTGCAATCCTTAGAGTAACCACTTAAAAAAAGTAATAGCCAATAAGCCAATAGAGAAGATAAAATAAAATGCTAAATAAAATGTATTCAAAAGAAGGCAAGAAAAGAGGGGAAAATGCACACAAAAACTGATGAAACAAATACAATTCAAATAGTAAGATAATAAAACAAAATCCAACCACATAAGTACATTAAATGTAAATAATCAAACTGTACAATTAAAGGGCAAAGATTGTCAGACTAGATAAAAAATAGATCTAACAAAATGCTTTCTGTAGGACTTGCATTCTGATCACACAAGATACCCAGGTAACAAACCTGCACATGTACCCCTGAATCTAAAATAAAAGTTGAAATTATGAAAAAAAAGATTTGCATTTTAAACAAAAAGACACAAGTAGATTAAAGTAAAATAATGAAAATGTATGCAGTCAAAATACACCAATTAATAAACAGATTGGCAGAGTAGTAAACACAGACACACACACACCTTTATGCTACATATTTTTAAAAACTCACTTCAAATATAATTATATAGGTAGGTTGAAAATAATACTATTAAAAAGATACATCATATAAAACATCAATTAAAAGGAAGCAGGTATAGGTATATTAATGTCAGTGAAAATATAATTCAGAGCAAAGAAAATTACCAGAGACAGAGAAAGGCATTACATAATGATAAAAATATTCAATACACCAAGGAGGCAGAGCAATCCTAAATGCACCAAAACAAAGAGAGCTGCAAAGTATTTGAAGCAAAAACAGATAAGATAAAAAAAGAAATAGATAAGTTGACAATTATAGTTGGGGATTTCAACACCCCTCTTTTTTCTTTTCTCAACTTTAATTTTTAGTTTCATGAGGTATATGTGCAGGTTTGTTACATAGGTAAATTGCATGCCACAAGGGTTTGGCGTGCAGAATATTTTGTCAGCCAGCTAATAAGCGTAGTACTCTATAGACAGTTTTTCCATCTTCACCCTCCTCCCAATCTCCTCATTCAAGTAGGCCCTGGTGTCTGTTGTTCTGCTCCTCATGTCCATGTGTACTCAATGTTTAGCTCCCACTTATAAGAACATGCATCATTTGGTTTTCTGTTGCTACATTAATTCACTTGGGATAATGGCCTCCAGCTGAATCCATGTTGCTGAAAAAGATTTAATTTCTTTTTTTTTGTAATGGCTGCATGGTATTCCATGGTGTATGTGCACCATATTTGATCCAGTCCACCACTGATGGACATCTAGGTTGATTCCATGTCCTTGCTGTTATGAATAATGCTGTGATGAACATATGGGATGAAAATATAAATCATTCTACCATGTGTCTTTTTGGTAGAATGATTTATGTTTCCCTTTGAACACCCTTCTTTCAACAGTTAATAAAACTCTACAGAAAATCAGTACAAGGATATAAAATAATACAAAAACACCATCAAGCAACAGGAGCTATTCAACACCGATGGAACGTTCCACCCAGCAACAGCAGAATGGACATCCTTTCAAGATTTGTTGTAACATACACCAAGATAGACCATATTCTAGCCCATAAAACAGGCTTCAACAAGTTTTGAAGACTTGATGATGTAGAGTATGTTCTCTGATCACAGTGGAATAAAACTAGAATCAATAACAGAAATAAGACAGAAAAATCCTCAAACATACAAACACTTGGAAAGTAAAAGTCACACTTTTAAATAACATGGTTAAAAGAGGAAGTCACAAAGGAAATCTAAATGTACATTGAACTAACTGAAAACTTAAATACAGTATATTAAAATTTCTGGGACACAGCTAAAGAATGTTGATAGGGACATTTATAGTAACAAATGTTCATATCAGGAAAAAGTCTCAAATAAATAATCTAAGCTCTTTCCCCAAGAACCTATAAAAAGAAGGGCAAAGTAAAGCCAAAGCAATCATAAGTAAGAAGATAAAACAAAGGTAGAAATCAATAAAATTTAAAATTGAGAAACAGTAGAAAATTATTAAAAGAAAACTGATTATGTGATGCAATTAATAAAATTAGGAAACTTCTAGCAAGACTAATAGATAAGAATATCAGGAATGAAATAATATCAGGAATGAAACTGAGGATACTACTATGGGCCTTGCAGACATCAAATGACTAATACTATCAATGTCTCTATACACAAATTTGTCAACTTAAATGGATCAATTCCTTGAAAAGCATAAACAATTTTACTTTACCCAATGTGAAACAATTTGAATAGCCCTATAACTATTAAGGAATTTGAATTTGTAATTTAAAAACTCCACAAGAAATACACATCAAAGTTCAGGTGTGGTTCTGGAAAATTATCAAATCTTTGAAGAATTAAGACAAATTCTGCATAAGCTCTTCCAGAAAATAAAGAAGGAGAAGACAATTTCAATTTATTCTATCATGTAGTAGTAATCTTATGCCAAAACCAGACAGAGACAGCCCAAAAACGCAAACTACAAATCAATATATTTCATGAATATAACATAAAATGTCTCATGAAAATGTTAACAAATAGGCCAGGCATAGTGGCTCATGCTTGTAATCCCAGTGCTTTGTAAGGGTGAGAGCAAGGAGTTTGAGACTAGCCTAGGTAACATAGCAAAACCCCAACTCTCCAAAAAAAAAAAAAAAAAAAAAAAAAAAAAAAAAATGCTGGGGGTGGTGGTACATTCCTGTAGTTCCAACCTGGGTAGCAGAATAAGACCCAGTATAAAAAACAAAAAAATTAGCAAATAAAATTCAACAATAGTTTAAAAAATTATATAGTATGAGCAAGTTGAGTTTATTCCAGGTATGCAAGGCTGGTTTAATAGTCAAAAAATTAATCAACAGAACCCATTCTATTAATAAGCTACAGAAAATTGATGTGCATGATCATATCAATTGATGCAACAAGGTTTAAAAAAGATGAAAAACTGCATGATCAATTGATGCTAATTTAGGCTAAATATTCTCCAGAAAATAAGAATAGAGGGAAACTTTTTGATTTTATTAAATATCATATGCAAAAATACAACAAAGTCTTTATCTTGCTGTATTTTCATAGTCATTCAAAGTTCCCTCTGGATTTCGTAATTAGCCTATGTTGCTTTAAAAAATTATTTTTTCAATCAGTAATATTTTAAACTGAGATCTTAAAAGCTCACGCTGAAAACAACTAAATGAAAATGTGTATATTTTAACAATGAAAGCTATTCTTTTATTAATGCTAAACTTAAGAGTAAAAAACTGAATGTTTACTTCTAAGATCAAGGATGTCAACTGTATTTAACATACCACTAGAAATTGTAGCCACATATTGGAGTGAGGTGTGACTACGAAAGGATAAAGTAAAGGATCCTGTGGTAATCAGAAAGTTATGTATCTTAACTTCATCAATGTCAATATCCTATTTGTGAAAAGGAAACAAGGCACGTAGATTGGAAAATAATTTTTTAAACTGTCCCTAGTTGCAGATGAGGCAGAAAATCAGAGGGGGTCGGACATATGTGGTTCCCACATATAATCCCAGCACTTTGGGAGGCTGAGGTAAGTGGATTGCTTGAATCTAGGAATTCAAGAGCAGCTTGAGCAGGATGGCAAAACCCCATCTCTACAAAAAATACAAAATATAGCCAGGTGTAGTGACACACAGCTATAGTCCCAGCTACTTGGGAGGCTGAGGTGGGAGTATTATTTGATCCTGGGAAATAGAGGCTGCAGTGAGCTGTGATCAAGCTACTGCACTCAAGCCTGGGCAACAGAGCAAGACTCATCCTCAAAAAAAAAAAAAAAAAAGGAAATTTAAGAAATTTAAAAAATCAGAGGAAAATATTTCTTAATTCTAGAATAAGAGAATTAGCAAGATTACAGGATAGAAGATAAACTTAGAAAAACAAAACACTTCTACATCTTAGCAATGAATACATGGAAACTAAAATGAAAAAAATATCATTTACAACTGCTTAAAAAGATGACATATTTAAGTATAAATCTGGCATATCATGGAAAGGATTTGTATGGTGTAAACTACAAAACACTGGTGAAAGATCTAAGTAAATACAGAGACACATCGTCTTCACAGATTATAAGACAGTAAAGATGAAAATTCTTCCAAATTAATTTATAATTTTTATAATTTTACAAAATTTTGTTTTATAATTTCTATCAAAATTCCAGAAAATATTTTTGTAGATATAGACACAATAATTATAAAATGCTCATGAAATGGTAAAGGAACTATAATAGCTAGAACAGTTTTGAAAAAAAAAAAGTAGGAGGAATCAGTCTACCTGATTATAAAACCTAATTTATAGCTATAGTAATTAGGATATGTTATTAGAGGAGGTATAGACACATAGATCAATGGAATAGAATGAAGATCCCAGAATAGACTCACACAAATATGCCCAATTGCTAACCAAGGTGCAAAAAAAAAAATTAAGATATACAGCCTTTTCAACAAATGAACCTGGAAAAATTGGATATTGATAGGTGAAAACTATAGAACTTGACCTCAACTTCATACCTTATATAAAAATTTACTTAAAATGAAATATGAACTCAAATATAAAACAAAAAATTATAAAACCATTGCGGAAAAAAAACCATGAGAAACTCTTAATTTTCTAGGGCTAGGCTAGGAGCTGTTAGACTTGACACCAAAGAACAATTCATGAAAGGAAAATTGATAAATTGGACATCATCAAAATTAAAAACCGAACAATCTTGTTCAAAGGATGAAAATACAAGCAACAGACTGGAAGAAAACACTTGCAAACTACATATCTGACAAAGGACTAGTATCTGGATGTGTAAAAAGCTCTCAAAACTCAGTAGTAAAATATCAAACTATCCAATTAGAAAATGGGCAAAGACATGAACAGATTAAAGTGAATACACATATGCAAAATAAACAGATGCAAAGATGTTCAACATTGTGAACCTTTAGGGAGATGCACATTCAAGCCACAGTGAGATATGTAATCAGAATGGCCAGTGAGACACTTAATCAGAATGGCCAGAACACAAACTAGTGATAACATCAAATGGTAGCAAAGATGGAAAGAAACGGAGTTTCTCATAAATAGCTGGTGAAAATTTAAAATGGTACAACCCTTCTGCCAAACATTTTGGCAGCTTCTTTTGAAACTATACGTGTAACAATCATATGACCCAGATATTTCATTCAGGGCATTTATCCTAGACTAATGGAGACCTGTGTTTACCAAAAAAAGAAAACTACAAATGAATATTTATTGCAGCTTTATTCATATTCATTTCAGAAGTTGAATATAACTCAGATGTCTTTTAATGGTGAAACAGATTGTGATATAGTAATGCTGTGTAATATTACTGAGCAAAAAGGGAACAAATTATTAATAAACTTAGATAAATCTCTAGAGAATTATCCTGAGTGAAAAGTCAATCCTAAAAGGGATGTATTATATTTATATAACATTCTTGAAATGACTAAAGTATATAAATGAAAGAAGTTATTGGTTTCTGTAACTTAAGGACAGGAAAATAGGAGGTGGAAGAAGTGGAGGGGGTTATAAAAGGGCAACATGACAGATCCTTGTGGTGATAGAAATATTGTGTATCACTTCATTAATGTTATTACCTAGTTGTGATATTCCATTACAGTTATACACACCAGTGAAGAAAACCGGCTAAATAGTACATGGTATCTCTTTGTATTATTTCTTAACACTGAATGTGATTCTACAATTGCCTTAAAAAGATTATTTAAAAATATATACATATGGTCATATATACTGCATGATCCAAGTTAAGTAAAAAACACTGGAACAAGGCTGGGTGCAGGGGCTCATGCTTATAATCCCAGCACTTTGGGAGGCCGAGGCAGGTGGATCCCTTGAGGTCAGGAGTTCAAGACCAGCCTGGCCAACATGGTGAAACCCCATCTCTACTAAATATACAAAAATTAGCTAGGTGTGGTGGTACGTGCCTGTAGTCCCAGGTCCCAGCTACTCAGGAGGCTGAGGCTGGAAAATTGCTTGAACCTGGGAGGTGGAGGTTGCAGTGAGCCAGGTCACGCCACTGCACTACAGCCTGGGCAACTGAGTGAGGCTGTCTCAAAAAAAACAAACAAAAGAATCATTAAAAGACTGGAACAAATTGCACTCACATATTTTCAGTAGTTATTTAAAGATAATGGAGTTATGACAATTTTATTCTATTCCTCATACTTTTTTGTATTATTTGAAAACTTTATCATGAATATGTATTTCTCTTATGGTCAGAAAAACAACATTATAGCCACTAGGAGAAAGGTAAAATTAAAGAGACTGGGTGATGGGATTATTTGTACTTTCACTTCTTTCCTTGTGATTTTCTACACTGTTTTCAAATGTTACACAAGAAATATTTTTTTAAAAAGTTAAAAATCTTTCAAATTTTAAATGCGTGAAGTGTGGGTCAAGAAATGAAATTGAAAGTTGTCACAAATTGAAAGTTTGTGACAACTCTGTGTGAAGGCAATCTATCAACACCATTTTTCCAACAGCTTGTGCTCACTTATGTCTGTGTCCCATTTTGGTAATTCTCACAACATTTCAAACCTTTTCATTATTATTATTATGTCTTATGGAGATCTATGATCAGTGATTTTCGATGTTATTATTGTAACCGTTTTGGAGCACCACTAACTGCACTCTTAAAAGACAGCAAACACAGGAGGTGAGGAAGATTAGTCCCAGGTACACCCATTGGGACTAATCAAGGAAATAATTTGACCCATGGAGAATAGAGAAAAGCAAGGCAGGACAAGAGCCCACCCAGGAGTGTCACAGAGGCAGGGGAGCCTCCTGTAACCCCGCACCCCACCCAGGGAAGCAGTTAGTGAATGTGCGACCCCAGGAGCCCACGCTTCTCCCATACATATTTGCAACCGTTGGGTCAGGAAACCCCCTAATGAACCCATTCTACCAAGGCCTTCAGTCTGACACACAGAGCTACATGGAGTCTCAGCAGAGCAGCTGCTCAGGCACATGAAAGTGGCTGAACTCAGGGTACTGAGCAGCCACAGTCTGCAGGCCTCACTTCCATGGCACCTCACAAGATAAGACCCACTGGCTTGGAATTCCAACCAGCCACCAGGTGGTGTTGCACCTCCCTGAGATGGAGCTCCCAGGGAGAGGGGCAGGCCACCATCTTTGCTGTTTGAACAACTTAGCCATTTCAGCTGTTCAGCCATCGGGCTTTGGAGATGGAGTACAAGCTGAGGCGGGGCAGAAGCAGTACTGCAGCACAGCATAGCTGTGGCCACACTAGGAACATGTGGCTAGACTTTTTTAAGCGAGTCTCAAATCCCATTTCTAATCACTGTGCAAGACCTCCAAAGCAGGGTCTCCAGCCACCGCTGCTGGGATTTTCTGGCTGACAGAGATTTGAAACCTCCCTGGGATGAAGGTCCCAGAGGAAGGGGTGGGCCACCATCTTTGCTGTTTGGGTGATTTAGCCATTTCAGCCTCCGGACTTTGGAGAGTTCAAGCCAACTGGGGCTGAAGCAGTCCCCTAGCACAACACAGCTACTGTACTAAAACATGGCCAGACTGCTTTTTAAAGCAGGTCCCTGATCCCTTTCCTCCTCACTGGGTGGGACCTCCCAAACAAGGTGATCTCCAGCCACCTCCCACAGGTGTGTTTGGGCCAGCAACAAGGCTGTACCTCCCAGGAATGGAGCTTCCAGAGAAAAGGGCAGGCCACCATCTTGTTGTTTTGCAGCATTCATTGTTGATACCTCCAGGTACTGGAAAATTTGAGGTGACCAAGGACTGGAGCAGGCCCAAGCATACCACAGCAGCCCTACAGAAAAGTGGCCAGGCTGTTACATGGGTGTCTGTTCCCATATCTCCTCACTGGGCAGGTCCTCCAACCACCCCGTCAGGGCTACTGAGCCAGCAGCAGCTCTGCAACTCCCTGGGCAGATCTCCCAGGGGAAACTAAAAGGCTCTGCCACTGCCTCTGCAGCGGAACTGCACTTGCTACCCTTGGACTAATGAAGGAGCAAAGACCCCAAGTGCCTTATCCACACCTCTAACAAGCTGCAGTCGACCCAAGGACAGGAGGCCAGCCTGTCTCCCATAAATCTCACCCATCCCTGCTGCTTGTCATCTGACAGGGAACCCCAAATGTGGGCCCATTCTCACCTGATTACATTGAGTGATTGCTGATCTGCATCTCTCTGGGGTGGAGCCCCCAGGAGACAAGCAAAGGAGCCTTGGCCACAAACCACTACTAAGGTCCCTTCTGCTGCCTCCAAGTTGAGGAAAGAAAAAAAAAGAAACCCACTAAGATCACCCCTGAGCTGCAGTGGGCAGCCCAGGAGTACCCAGCCATGATCTACAGCCAGCACTCAAAGAGGAGGGGAACCCATACTTTCAGAGCATTTGGAGGGAACATGGCTGCAATTCTGAAAAAACAGAGAGGGGCCACACAACTGAGCAAGAGTCTACAACTGACAAATACACATAAATAACACCTACTGGATCACACCCCAAAGTGTCAGCACGAAAAATACCTCACTAACATGCCCCTCTCTGAAACCAGAGACAAGAAGTCAGCTTCAAATACACACCCTAGACAAAACCTTGGCCCAGTGAAAGCATCCAGAAAACAAGTCTATTGACTGTACTCAATCTACACTGCAGTTAAAGGAACACCCACATGTAGAGATGAGAAAGAACCAACACAAGAACTTTGGAAACTCAAATGGCCACAGTGTCGTATGTCCTCAAAATGATCACACCAGTTCTCCAACAAGAGTTCTTAACCAGGCTGAGCTGGCTGGAAAGACAAAAATAGAATTCAGAATGTGGATAGGAAGGAAGATCATTGAGATTCAGGAGAATGGCAAAATCCAATCCAGGGAAACTGAGAACCAAAATAAAATACAGGAGCTAAAGGATGAAACAGCCAGCATAAAAAAGAACCTAATGAATCTGGCAGAGCTGAATAATACAAGGATTTCCATGCAATCACAAGTATTAACAGAATAAACCAAGCTGAGGAACGAATCTCAGAACTTGAAGACTGGCTCTGTGAAATAAGACAGTCAAAATAAAAAAGAAGAAAAATAAAGAAAAAATAAAAGAGAATGAACAAAACCCCCCAAGAAATATAGGATTATATAAAGAGGCCAAATCTATGAATCACTGAAATCCCTGAAAGGGAGGGGGAGAAAGCAAACAACTTGAAAAACTTATTTCAGGATATTGTCCAAGAAAACTTCCCAAACCTTGCTAGAGAGGACAATAGTGAAATTCAGAAGATAGAGAACTCCTACAAAATTCTATACAAGAAGATCAGCCCCAAGACATACAATCATCAGATTTTCCAAGGTTGAAATGAAAGAGTGTTAAAGGTAGCTAGAGAGAACAGGCAGGTGACCTACAAAGGGAACTCCAATCAGGCTAACAGCTGACCTCTCAGCTGAAACCCTACAAGCCAGAAGAGATTAGTGATCTATATTCAACATTCTTAAATTAAAAAAATCTTCAACCAAGAATTTCATATTCAGCCAAAAAACTTTTTAAAGGAGAAATAAGATCCTTTTCAGATTAGTAAATGTTGAGGGAGTTTGTTACCACCAGACCTGCCTTACAGGAGATCTTGAAAGAAGCACTATATATAGAAAGGAAAAACTGCTACCAGCTAATACAAAAACACACTTAAATACACAGACCAGTGATACTATAAAGCAACCACACAAACAAGCCAGAATAATAACCAGCTAATAACACAATGACAGGATCAAATCCACACATATTAAGACTAACCTTGAATGTAAATCAGCTAAAGGCTCCACTTAAGAGGCATAAAATGGCAAGCTCTGTAAAAGGCAAGACCCGGCTGGGCATGGTGGCTCACATCTGTAATCCCAGCACTTTGGGAGATCAAGGTGGGTGGATTGCCTGAGGTCAGGAGTTCAAGACCAGCCTGGCCAATATGGTGAAACCCCGTTTCTATTAAAAGTACAAAAATTAGCTAGGCATGGTGGCGGGTACCTGTAATCCCAGCTACTCGGGAGGCTGAGGCAGGAGAATTGCTTGAACCCGGGAGGTGGATGTTGCAGTGAGCCGAGATTGCACCACTGCACTCCAGCCTGGGCAACAAGAGCAAAACTCCATCTCAAAAAAATAAAAATACAAAAGCAAGACTCAATGGTATGCTGTCTTCAAGAGGCCCATATAACACGTAATGACACCCATAGGCTCAAAGGAATGGAAGAAAATCTATCAAGCAAATGGAAAACAGAAAATAAGCAGGGGTTGCAATCCTAATTTCAGACAAAACAGACTTTAAACCAGCAAAGGTCAACACACAAAGACATTACATAATGATTATGGATTCAATAGGAAGACCTAACTGTCCTAAGTATCTATGCATGAAACACAGGAGCGCCTAGATTCATAAAGCAAGTTCTTAGAGACCTACAAAGAGACATAGACTACCACACAATAATAGTGGGAGACCTCAACACTCCACTAACAGTATTACACAGATCATCAAGGCAGAAAATGAACAAAGATATTCAGGATTTGAACTCAACATTAGATCAAATGGATCTGATAGACCTCTACAGAATTCCCCACCTCAAAACAACAGAATATACATTCTTCTCATTGCCACATGCTCTAAAACCAACCACATAATTGTACATAAAACAATTCTCAACAAATGTAAAATAACCAAAATCATATCAAATGCATGGCTCAGACCACAGCACAATAAAAATGTAAGTCAGGAGACTATGAAAATTGCTCAAAACCATGAAATTACATGGAAATTAAACAACATGCTCCTGAATGACTTTTAGGTAAATGATGAAATTAAGGCAGAATTCAAGAAGTTATTTGAAATGAATGAGAACAAAGATACAACATACCAGACTCTCTGGGACACAGCTAAGGCAGTGTTAAGAGGGAAATTCATAGCACTAAATACCCACATCAAAAAGTTAGAAAGACCTCAAATTAACAACCTAACATTGAAACTGAAAGAATTCAAGAAGCAAGAGCAAATCAACCCCAAAGCTAGCAGAAGACAAGAAATAACCAAAATCAGAGCTGAACTGAAGGAAATTGGGATGCTAAAAACCATTTGAAAGATCAACAAATCCATCAGTTGGTTTTTTGGAAAAATTAATAAGATAGGCCACTAACTAGATTAATAAAGAAAAGAGAAGATTCAAATAAACACAATTAGAAATGATAAAGGGAATGTTACCACTGACCCCACAGAAATAAAAATAACCATCAGAAACTACTACAAACACCTCTATGCACATAAACTAGAAACCCTAGAAGGGATGGATAAATTCCTAGACACATACACCCTCTCAAGACTGAACCAGGAAGAAATTGATTCCCTAAACAGACCAATAACGAGCTCCAAAATGGAATTAGTAATAAATAGCCTACCAACCAAAAAAGAAAGCCTAGGACCTGATAAATTCATAGCCAAATTCTACTGGATGCACAAAGATATGGTATCATTCCTACTAAAACTATTCTGAATAATTGAGAAGGGACTCCTCCCCAACTCATTCTATGAGCCCAGCATCATCCTAGTACTGAAACCTGGCAGAGACACAACAAAAAAAGAAAACTTTAGGCCAATATCTTTGGTGAACATCAATGCAAAAATCCTCAAAAAAATACTTGCAACCCAAATCCAGCAGCACATCAAAAAGTTAATCCACCATGATCAAGTAGACTTCATCCCTGGGATTCGAGATTGGTTCGACATATGCAAATCAATACATGTGATTCATCACATAAGCAAAACTAAAGACAAAAATCATATGATTATCTCAAATGACACAGAAAAGGCTTTCAATAAAATTGAACACCCTTTATGTTAAAAATTCTCAACAAACTAAGTACTGAAGGAATATACATTAAAATATGAACAGCCATCTGTAACAAACTCACAGCCAACTTTATACTGAGCGGGCAAAGGCTAGAAACATTTTCCTTGAAAACCGACACAAGAAAAGGATGCCCTCTCTTACTACTTCTATTTAGCATAGTATTAGAAATCCTAGCCAGAGCCATCATGCAACAAAAAGAAAAGGCATCCAAACAGGGAGAGGAAGTCAAACTATCTCTGTTTGCAGACGACATGATTCTATATCTAGAAAACCCCATACTCTTGGCCCAAAAGCTCCTTCAGCTAGCTGGTAAACAACTTCAGCAAAGTTTCAGGACACAAAATTAATGTACAAAAATCACTGGCATTCCTACTGTAGCTAAGCCAAGATGCAAATCAGGAGAACAATCCCATTCACAATTGCCACAAAAAGAATAAAATACCTAGGACTACAGCTAACCAGGGAGGTAAAAGAACTCTATAATGAGAATTAAACACTCCTGAAAGAAATCAGAGAAGAAACAAAGGAAAAATCATCCCGTGCTCATGGATAGGAAAAAATCAATATCATTAAAACGGCCATCCTGCCCTAAGTAATGTACATATTTTCAATGCTATTCCTATCAAATTACCAATGACATTCTTCACAGAACTAGAAAAAACTACTATAAATTCATATGGAACAAAAAAGAGCCCAGATAGCCAAGGCAATCCTATGCAAAATGAACAAAGTGGGAGGCACCACATTGCTTGACTTCCAACTAAACTACAGGACTATAGTAACCAGAACAGCATATTGTTGTTACAAAAACAGGCACATAGACCAATGGAACAGAATAGAGAGCCCAGAAATAAAGCCACATGCCTACAACCATTTGATCTTCAACAAAGTTGACAAAAAGAAGCAATAAGGAAAAGACTCCCTATTTAACCAATGGTGCTGGGATAACGGGCTAGCCATATGCAGAAGTTTGAAGCTGGACCCCACCTTACACTATATAGAAAAATAAACTCAAATATAGATGAAGGACTTAAATGTAAAACCCAAATGTACAAAAACCCTGGAAGACAATCTAGGCAATCATGACAAAGCCACCAAAAGCAATAGCAACAAAAGCAAAAATTGACAAATGGGATCTAATTAAACTTAGGAGCTTCTTCACAGCAAAAGAAATTATCAACAGAGTAAATAGCAACCCACAGAATGGGAGAAAATTTTTGCAAACTATGCATCTGACAAAGGTCTAATACCCAGCACCTGTAATGAATGTAAACAAATTTACAAGAGAAAAACAACCCCATTAAAAAGTGGGTCAAGAACATGAACAGACACTTTTCAAAAGACATACATGCAGCTGACAAGCATATGAAAAAAAAGCTCAATATCACTGATTATTAGAGAAGTGCAAATCAAAACCACAACAAGATACCATCTCACACCAGTCAGAATGGCTATTAAAAAGTAAAAAAAAAAAAAAAATAGCAGATGCTGGTGAGATGGCAAAGAAAAGAGAACACTTATACACTGTTGATGGGAGCGTAAATTAGTTCAACCATTGTGGAAAGCAGTATGGTGATTCCTCAAAAAACTAAAAGCAGAACTACCATTCAACCCAGCAATCCCATTACAGGGTATATACCCAGAGGAATATAAATCATTCTACCATAAAGACACTTGCATGTGTATGTTCATTGCAGCACTATTCACAACAGCAAAGACATGGAATCAACCTAAATGCCCATCAATGGCAGATTGGATAAACAAAATGTGATACATATACACCACAGAATACTATGCAGCCACAGGAAAGGACGAGATCATGTCTTTTGCACAAACATGAATGGAGCTGGAAGCTATTATCCTTAGCAAACTAATAAAGGAGCAGAAAATCAAATACCACATGTTCTCACTTATAAGTGGGAGCTAAATGATGAGAACTCATGAACACAAAGAAGGGAACAACAGACATTGGGGTCTACTTGAGGGTGGAGGGTGGGAGGAGGGAGAAGAATGGAAAAGATAACTATTGGGTGCTGGGCATAATACCCGGGTGATGAAATAATCTGTACAACAAACCCCTGTGACATGAGTTCACCTATGTAACAAACCTTCACATGTAAACTAAACCTAAAATAAAAGTTTAAAAATTTAAATTTTAAAAAATTTTTGAAAAATTAAAGAAGAAAAGACAGCAAACTTACCATAAATGTGATGTGAGCTCTGACTGCTGTGCTGACTAGCCTCCTTACTCCCTAAGAAACAGTAATATTAAAATTAAGCCAATTAATAAGCTGGCAATGACCTTTAAGTGTTCAAGTGAAAAAAAGTTTCACATCTCTTTTTTAAAGTTAAAAGCTACTAGTAGTTAAGCTTATTGCGGAAAGTATGTCAAAAGCAGGAATAGGCCAAAAACTAAACCTTTGCAACAACCACTTAGTCAAGTTGTGAGTGCAAAGGAAAAGTTATTGAAGGAAACTAAAAATACTACTCCAGTAAACACATGAATGATAAGAAAGTGAAACAGCCATATCGTTGATATGAAGAAAGCTTTAGTGATCTGAATGGAAGATCAAACCAGCCACAACATTCTCTTATGCCAAAGCCTAATCCAGAGCAAGGCCCTAACTTACTTCAATTTCATAAAAGTGAGAGGTGTGAGAACGCTGCAGAAGAAAAGCTGGAAGCTAGCAGAGGTTGGTTCGTGAGGTTAAAGTAAAAGAAGCCATCTCCATAACATAAAAGTGCTAGGTGGAGCAGCAAACGTTGATGTAGGAGCTACAGCAAGTTATCCAGAAGATGTAGCTAAGATAATTGATGAAGGTGGCTACATTAAAAAAGAGAATTTATATGTAGATGAAACAGCCTTATAGTGGAAGATGATGCCATCTAGGATTTATATCACTAGAGAGGGGAAGTCAATGTCTGGCTTCAAAGTTTCAAAGCACAGGCTGATTCTCTTGCTAGGGACTAATGCAGCTGGTGACTAAACTGAAGCCAATGCTTGTTTACCATTCTGAAAATCCTACAGCCCTTTAGAACTAAGCTGAATCTATTCTACCTATGCTCTATAAATGAGATAACAAAGCCTGGATGACAGAACACGTGTTCACAGCATGGTTTAATGAATAGTGTAAGCCAAATATTGACACTTACTGCTCAAAAAAAAAAAAAAAAAAAAAGATTCTTTTCAAAATATTATGGCTCATCAACAGTGTATCTGGTCCCCCAAGAACTCTGATGAATATGTACAAGGAGATTAATGTTATTTTCATACCTGCTAACACAACATCTACTGCGGTTTGCCATGGTTACCACGGGACTGAATGAAGGCAGACAAATGCAGAAATGAAAACTTAAAAGAAACAGTTTAAAGAAAGGGGCTAGGGGAAGAAGAGGGATCCCTGCTTCTAGTGAGCAAAGGCAGCCACCCTGAGCTTCTACAGCCCTTTTATTTATTGAGTAGAAAGAGCAGGGAGGAGGAGGTAACGATTGGTCAGCTGCTTAATTGATCACAGGTTCACATTATTGCTAACAGGCTTCAGATGTGCCTAATCACAAGCAACACTTGTGCTTGGGGCGTGACTGCCCTCAGCATTCCTTGTGGGTGGCAGACACCGTTTGTCAGTTTGCCAACAACCTGTAAGAACAGTTTGCTCTTTACTCACATAGCCTCCAGTGGTATACTGAGTTGGTCACAACGCTCATTCTTGCGGTCTCCAACATCTCTCCCTTTGTGTTTTTAAATTAATTGAGAAAGGTAATTGCAAAATGTGCAGGCTTCAATTGCTGGTTCGTTCTGTCTTTGCATTCAGCTCGTACTGGGGGAACCAGGCCCACAGTTGGGTTGCATGGGTCCCTCCAGTCTCCTATTCCATGGTCGTACACACCTTAAGGGCACCCATAGAGTTTGTTCATCTCCTGCAAAAACACAAGCGTACCCTCATCCCCACATTAGCAAATTAATTGAAAAAAGGCAAAGGCTTTTGAGGCTGTAGCTGGGGGCATGCTGTTGCTGATGCATCTGCTCCACAAGCTGCAATTCAGCTTCTTCCTCTTTGGTTAACCACGCGGTAAAACTTTCCATTGATAATGAGAGGCAGGCTCTTTCTGATTAACAGAAGGCACAGAGAAAACAAAGAAAACAAATCAAAGCTTATTTTTCTCGTGCAACACTATAGCAAAAAAAAAAAAAAAAAAAAAAAAATCCTCACGATCTATTACCATGAGAGATCAGCCTCTTGCTTCTGCATCCATAAGCCCACAAAACTCTTCTTCAATTTGCACTGCACAAGTGGGTCTACTAGATGCTATGGGTTGTGATAGATAAATTTCCTGTGTAGTTGTACTTCCAAATCCCTTGATTCTCTCCTTTCTCCTTTTGTGGAGAAGGGTGCAATTTACAGGGAATAAGCAACAGTTGAGCAATATATTCTCCCTGGTTCAAAAACCCAAAGATCTTGTGACACCACCACCACCACCTGAATTTCTCCTTCCCAATCAAAATCAACTCCTGGGACTACAGTAATGCCCAGTAAGTTAAGATGACTTTTACCCAAAATTAATCCCATGTATCCTATTGGCAAAGGTCCCCAAATACCAGTGGGAATCTTAGTGAGTTTGTTTCCTCCAATTAACGTAACCCGTTCTCTGACTGGGAGATCTAATCCCGCGCTTCCAGGTGTTCCCGGGGAGAGGGAATCGACGTGCCTCCAGAAACTCACCCCTGAAACGGAGTTGTGGCCTGGAGGAGGAGTGCCCTCATTGTTTGAGGTGCCCCGGTCCAGGCCCCCTTCTTGTTTCCCTACAGGGGGGTGCCATTTTGATGAAATTTTGAGTGGCATTGATTAGCCCAGTGATTTCCTTTATTGCAACAAGGGCAAAATCCTGGCTTTTTTTTCTGTTAGGAGGGGACTGTGTTATAAGATCCCTTCTGCCCAGAGGTCTGACGGCATTCTTTTTTTAAAATGTCCAATTTTTCTACACTTATAACATTTTCCCACTTTAAGGCTTGACCCTTGGCTCCTTTTAGATCTGTCAACTATCAAATTAGTCATTATTGAGCCAATATTGTAGAGTAATGAAGCTCAGTTCCCACATCTTGACAAGCTCTGAGAAAACCTCCCAAGATTTTTGTACATCTCACAGGTGCCAGTGCATGTTTACAATCCATGTTTGCACTCTCAAAAGTTAAAGTTAGGCTTTCTGTAGCCACAAAAGAAGACAGTACAAACCAATTTTCATCCTCCCTCTCCTGTTCACTACCCTCAATAGGTGCTGTAGGTGGATCAAAAAATTCTCTCAAACCCTGAAATAATGACAAAGACAGTACAAACCAAACTCCAAACAAAAAAGAGAAAAGAAATAGCCAAGTTCTTCCCCATGTTACCCTGATTCAAAAACTTCCCATTCTCTATACCTCTTTAGGGCACTGACCAGTACCTCTTTAGAGCAGTGACCTTATATTGCAGCTGGCAGACTTGTAATGGGGTTTCTGGTTCATCTGGGTTTACTACTTCTGCTCCAGCAGACCTTCTTCGTTCATGTCCCTATAGGACCCTATCTGTCCCTGTTTGTCCCTATCTGTCCCTGCAAGTCTCTGCTAGTCTCTACTAATCTCTATCTGTCCCCACGGTCTCTGTTTGGGTGCCACTTGCTGCAGTTTGCCATGGTTTGCCACAGTTACCATGGGACTGAATGAAGGAGGACGAACACAGAAATGAAAACTTAAAAGAAACTGTTTTAAAGAAAGGGGCCAGGGGAAGAAGAGGGATCCCTGCTTCTAGTGAGCAAAGGCGGCCTCCCTGAGCTTCTACAGCCCTTTGTATTTATTGGGTAGAAAGAGCAGGGAGGAGGAGGTAACAATTGGTCAGCTGCTTAATTGATCACAGGTTCACATTATTGCCAACAGGCTTCAGCTATGCCTAATCACAGGAAACACTTGTGCTTGAGGTGTGACTGCCCTCAGCATTCCTTCTGGGTGGCAGACGTAGTTTGCCAAGTTTGCCAACAACCTGCTTTCATGAGAACAGTTTGCTGTTTACTCATGTAGCCTCCAGTGGTATACTGGGTTGGTCATGACCCTCATTCTTTCAGTCTCCAACAAACATCCATTCTGCAGCCCATGGATCAAAAAGTCATTTTGACTCTCAAATATTATTATTTAAGAGATACATTTTGTAAGGCCATAGCTGCCATAGATAGTGATTCTTCCGATAGATTTGGGCAAAGTAAATTGAAACCCTTATAGAAAGGATTCACCATTCTAGATGCCATCAAGAACATTGATGATTCATGGGAGGAGGTCCAAATATCAGCATTAACAGAAGTTTGAAATAAATTGATCCCAATCCTCATGGATGACTTTGAGAGGCTCATGACTTTAGTGGAGGAAGTAACTGCAAATGTGGTGGAAGTAGCAAGAGAACTAGAATTAGAAGTACAGCCTGAAGGTGTGATAGAATTGCTGCAATCTTCAAAGAAAGTGATTTCTCCTTCTCCTTCTCCTTCGCCTTCTCCTTCTTTCTTCTTGTTCTCCTTTTTCTTATTATTCTTCTCGGTAGAGACAGGAGTCTCACTATGTTGCCTATGCTAATCTCAAACTCCTGGCCTGAAGCAATTCTCCCACCTCAGCTACTCAAAGCACTGGGATTACACTGCGCCTGACCTAGAAATTGGTTTTTTGAGATGGAATCTACTTCTCATGAACATACTGTGCACATTGTTGAAATAACAACAAAGGATTTAGACTATTTCATAAACTTAGCTGATAAAGCAGTGTCAGGGTTTGAGAGGACTGACTCCAGTTTTGAAAGAAGTTCTACTGTGAGTAAAACACTATCACATAGCTTTGCTTCAGAGAATTCTTCCATGAAAGGAAGAGTGAATTGATGTGGCAAACCTTATTGTTGTCTTATTTTAAGAAATTTCCACAGCCACCCCAACCTTCAACATCACCACTCTGATCAGTCAGCAGTCATCAACATTGAGGCAAGACCCTCCACAAGCACAAAGATTACACCTTACTCAGATGATATTTAACATTTGTTTAGCAATAAAGTATTTTTAAGTTAAGGTATGTGCATTTTTAGGCATAAGACTATTGCACACAATAGACTACAGTATAATGTAAACATACTTTTATTTGCACCAGAAACCAAAAAATTAGTATGATATTTTATTGTGATATTAATGTTTTTGAGATGGTGTAGAATCAAACCTGCGGCATCACCAAGGTATGCTTCTATAGTCAACACTACTGCATTTTACACTTTGAAATTTCTTAAAAGGGTATATGTTACGTTAAGTGTTCTTGCCACAGTAAAATAAAATTAATAAAGTGGAAAAAATCTCTGGCATTATACCCTTGAAACTGATGAAATAATACATTGTTATAATTTTTTTTTTTTTTTGAGACGGAGTCTCGCTCTGTCACCCAGGCTGGAGTGCAGTGGCACAATCTCGGCTCACTGCAAGTTCCGCCTCCCGGGTTCACACCATTCTCCTGCCTCAGCCTCCTGAGTAGCTGGGACTACAGGCGCCTGCCACCATGCCTGGCTAATTTTTTGTATTTTTAGTAGAGACGGGTTTCACCGTGTTAGCCAGGATGGTCTCAATCTCTTGACCTCGTGATCCACCTGCCTCAGCCTCCCAAAGTGCTGGGATTACAGGCATGAGCCACCACGCCCGGCCCATTGTTATAATTTTAAAAAAATAAAATAAAATAAATATATGAGAAAAACAACTATAGACTAATATCTTTAATGAACACAGAAGCACAAATTCCAATCAAAATTTTAGACGATTTAATACAACAATATTTGTACAAACTTTCTATTGCTTTTGCAACAAATTACCAAAGAATTATAGACTTAAAAAACACAAATTTATCTTATATTCCTGGAGGTAAGAATTCTGAGATCTGTTTCACTGTGCTAAATTCAAAATATTCACAGAGTTAATTTTTCTTGAAGATTCTAAGGAGAGAATCCATTCACCTATCTTTTTTTAGCTTCTAGTGGCTGCCAATATTCTTTAACTTGTGGCATCTTCCTCCATCTTCAAAGTGCATCACTCCAATACTCTGCTTCCATAATCACATCACCCTCTTCTCTGTGTAACCAAATCTCCTTCTGCTCTTTTCTTATAAAGGCACTTGTGGTTACTTTTGTTGTTCATCTGGATATCCTCCCTAGTGTCATCTCAAGATCCTTAGCATAATCACTTTTGCAAAGTACCTTTTGCCGTATAACATTTGCAGGTTCTGGAGATGAGGAAGTGGATATTTCGGGGGGCCATTTTTCAACCTATCAGTCTGCCTTCTGGCTACCAAAGATTCACATTCACCCTACATGCAAAATGCATTTAATGCATCCCAGCCTCCCCAAGTGTCTCCACCTATTAAAACATCAGTTCAAGACCAAAGTCTCATCTAAATATTATCAGTTCAAGGAGGTAGAGAATAGAATGATAGTTACCAGAGGCTGAGAATGGTATGGGATGGGAGGGCATGAAGAAAGGTTGGTTAGCAGATATAGAGGTACAGTTAGATAGAAAGAATAAGTTCTAGTGTTCAATAGCATAGTAGAGTAACTATACAATATATGA